>NW_009646198.1:0-2183 GCF_000001405.40 Homo sapiens
TGCCTTTTCCACCATAGGCCTCAAACGGCGCTAAATATCCCCTTGGAAATTCTACAAAAAGAGAGTTACAAGACTGCTCTGTCGAAAGGAAGCTTCAACTCAGCGAGTTGAAAGCACACATCAAGAAGAAGTTTATGAGAATTCTTCTGTCTAGTTTTGTATGAAGAAGTCACGTTTCAAACGAAGGCCACAAAGAGGTCCAAATGTCCACTTGGAGATTCAACAAAAAGAGTTTTTCAAAACTGCTCCATCAAGAGGAATATTCAACTCTGAGAGTTGAAGGCAGGTATCACAAAGTAGTTTCCGACAATGCTTCTGTCTAGATTTTATGTGAAGACATTCCCTTTCGTACCACAGGCCTGAAAGCACTCTAAATATAGAATTGCAAATTCCACAAAAAGAGTGTTTAAATCCGATCTATCCAAAGAAAGCTTAAACTCTGTCAGCTGAATGCGCACATCACAGAGTGGCTTCAGAGAACAATTATGTCTAGTTTTTCTGTGAAGATATTTTCTCTTCTACATAGGCCTGAAACCGCTCCAAATATTCACTTGGAAATTCTTCAAAAGGAATATTTCAACCCTCTTCTATCAAAAGGAAGGATGCACTCTGAGAGTTAAACGCACACATCACAGAGAAGTGTCTGAGAATTCTTCTGTCAAGGTTTATATGAAGAAACCCCGTTTCCAATGAAGGCCTCAAAAAAGTCAAAATATTTACTTGCAGATCCTACAAAAAGAGTGTTTCATAACTGGTCTATCAAAAGAAAGGTTAAACTCAGTGAGTTGAACCCACACATCACAAAGTAGCTTCTGAGAAACATTCTGTCTAGTCCTCCTACGAAGATATTGCCTTTTCTACCATAGGCCTCAAACGGCGCTAAATATCCACCTGGAAATTCTTCAAAAACTGAGTTTAAAAAGTGCTCTGTTGAAAGGAAGCTTCAACTCTGTGAGTTGAAGGTACACATCACAAAGAAGTTTCTGAGAATTCTTCTGTCTAGTTGTAAATGAAGAAATCACGTTTCAAACGAAGGCCACAAAGAGGTCCAAATATCCACTTGCAGATTCTACAAAAGGAGTGTTTCAAAACTGCTCCATCAAGAGGAATGTTCAACTCGGTGCGTTGAATGCAAATATCACAAATAAGTTTCTGACAATACTTCTGTCTAGTTTTTATGTGAAGATATTTCCTTGCCTACTGTAGGCCTCAAAACGCTCTAAATATACACTTGCAAATTCTCCAAAAACAGTGTTTCCAAACTGCTCTATCAAAGGAAGTTTAAACTCTGTAAGCTTAATGCAAGCATCACAAAACAGCTTCGGAGAATGAATCTGCCTAGTTTTTCTGTGAAGATATTTCTTTTTCTGCCATAGACCTCAAACCGCTGTAAAAATCCACTTGGAAATTCTACAAAAAGAGTATTTCAAAACTCTTCTATCAAAAGGAAGTTTCAACTCCATGAGTTAAATGCACATATCACAAATAATTTTCTGAGGATTCTTCTTCCAAGTTTTATATGAAGAAATCCCGTATCCAAAGATGGCCTCAGAAAAGTCCCAATATACACTTGCAGATTCTACAAAAAGAGTTTTTCAAAACTGCTCTATCAAAAGAAAGGTTGAACTCTGTGAGTTGAAGGCACACATCACAAAGTAGTTTCTGAGAATCATTCTGTCTAGTTTTTCTATGAAGATATTGCCTTTTCCACCATAGGCCTCAAACGGCGCTAAATATCCCCTTGGAAATTCTACAAAAAGAGAGTTACAAGACTGCTCTGTCGAAAGGAAGCTTCAACTCAGCGAGTTGAAAGCACACATCACGAAGAAGTTTATGAGAATTCTTCTGTCTAGTTTTGTATGAAGAAGTCACGTTTCAAACGAAGGCCACAAAGAGGTCCAAAGGTCCACTTGGAGATTCATCAAAAAGAGTTTTTCAAAACTGCTCCATCAAGAGGAATATTCAACTCTGAGAGTTGAAGGCAGGTATCACAAAGTAGTTTCCGAAAATGCTTCGGTCTACATTTTATGTGAAGACATTCCCTTTTGTACGACAGGCCTGAAAGCACTATAAATATAGAATTGCAAATTCCCCAAAAAGAGTGTTTAAAACCGCTCTATGCAAAGAAAGCTTAAACTCTGTCAGCTGAATGCGCACTTCACAAAGTGGCTCAGAGAACAATT
>NW_009646198.1:8699-10168 GCF_000001405.40 Homo sapiens
ATACTTCTGTCTAGTTTTTATGTGAAGATATTTCCTTTCCTACTGTGGGCCTCAAACCGCTCTAAATATACACTTGCAAATTCCACAAGAAGAGTGTTTCAAAACTGCTCTATCAAAGGAACTTTAAACTCTGTAAGCTTAATGCAAGCATCACAAAACAGCTTCGGAGAATGAATCTGCCTAGTTTTTCTGTGAAGATATTTCTTTTTCTGCCATAGACCTCACACCGCTGTAAAAATCCACTTGGAAATTCTACAAAAAGAGTATTTCAAAACTCTTCTATCGAAAGGAAGTTTCAACTCCATGAGTTAAATGCACATATCACAAATAATTTTCTGAGGATTCTTCTTTCAAGTTTTATATGAAGAAATCCCGTTTCCAAAGATGGCCTCAGAAAAGTCCCAATAAACACTTGCAGATTCTACAAAAAGAGTTTTCCAAAACTGCTCTATCAAAAGAAAGGTTAAACTCTGTGAGTTGAAGGCACACATCACAAAGTAGTTTCTGAGAATCATTCTGTCTAGTTTTTCTATGAAGATATTGCCTTTTCCACCATAGGCCTCAAACGGCGCTAAAGATCCACTTGGAAATTCTACAAAAAGAGAGTTACAAGACTGCTCTATCAAAAGAAGGCTTCAACTCTGCGAGTTGCAAGCACACATCCCAAAGTAGTTTATGAGAATTCTTCTGTCTAGTTTTGTATGAAGAAGTCACGTTTGAAACGAAGACCACAAAGAGGCCCAAATATCCACTTGGAGATTCAACAAAAAGAGTTTTTCAAAACTGCTCCATCACGAGGAATATTCAACTCGGAGAGTTGAAGGCAGGTATCACAAAGTAGTTTCCGACAATGCTTCTGTCTAGATTTTATGTGAAGACATTCCCTTTTGTACCACAGGCCTGAAAGCACTCTAAATATAGAATTGCAAATTCCACAAAAAGAGTGTTTAAAACCGCTCGATCCAAAGAAAGGTTAATCTCTGTAAGCTGAATGCACAAATCACAAAGTAGCTTCAGAGAACAAATGTGTCTAGTTTTTCTGTGAAGACATTTTCTCTTCTACATAGGCCTGAAACCGCTCTAAATATTCACTTGGAAATTCTACAAGAAGAATATTTCAACACTCTTCTATCAAAAGGAAGGTTGAACTCTGAGAGTTAAATGCACACATCACAAAGAAGTTTCTGAGAATTCTTCTGCCAAGGTTTATATGAAGAAATCCCGTTTCCAATGAAGGCCTCAAGAAAGTCCAAATATTTACTTGCAGATTCTACAAAAAGAGTGTTTCATAACTGGTCTATCAAAAGAAAGGTTAAACTCAGTGAGTTGAACCCACACAACACAAAGTAGTGTCTGAGAATCATTCTGTCTAGTTTTCCTACAAATATATGGCCTTTTCTACCATAGGCCTCAAACGGCGCTAAATATCCACCTGGAAATTCTACAGAAACTGATTTTCAAAAGTGCTC
>NW_009646198.1:12458-17659 GCF_000001405.40 Homo sapiens
AACGGCGCTAAATATCCACCTGGAAATTCTACAAAAACTGAGTTTCAAAGTGCTCTATTGAAAGGAAGCTTCAACTCTGTGAGTTGAAGGTACACATCACAAAGAAGTTTCTGAGAATTCTTCTGTCTAGTTGTAAATGAAGAAATCACGTTTCAAACGAAGGCCACAAAGAGGTCCAAATATCCACTTGCAGATTCTACAAAAAGAGTGTTTCAAAACGGCTCCATCAAGAGGAATGTTCAACTCTGGGCGTTGAATGCAAATATCACAAATAAGTTTCTGACAATACTTCTGTCTAGTTTTTATGTGAAGATATTTCCTTTCCTACTGTAGGCCTCAAAACGCTCTAAATAAACACTTGCAAACACCACAAAAAGAGTGTTTCCAAACTGCTCTATCAAAGGAAGTTTAATCTCTGTCAGCTGAATGCAAGCATCACAAAACAGCTTCGGAGAATGAATCTGCCTAGTTTTTCGGTGAAGATATTTCTTGTTCTGCAATAGACCTCACACCGCTGTAAAAATCCACTTGGAAATTCTACAAAAAGAGTATTTCAAAACTCTTCTATCGAAAGGAAGTTTCAACTCCATGAGTTAAATGCACATATCACAAATAATTTTCTGAGGATTCTTCCTTCAAGTTTTATATGAAGAAATCCCGTTTCCAAAGATGGCCTCAGAAAAGTCCCAATATACACTTGCAGATTCTACAAAAAGAGTTTTTCAAAACTGCTCTATCAAACAAAGGTTAAACTCTGTGAGTTGAAGGCACACATCACAAATTAGTTTCTGAGAATCATTCTGTCTAGTTTTTCTATGAAGATATTGCCTTTTCCACCATAGGCCTCAAGCGGCGCTAAATATCCACTTGGAAATTCTACAAAAAGAGTCTTACAAGAATGCTCTATCGAAAGGAAGCTTCAACACTGTGAGTTGCAAGCACACATCCCAAAGAAGTTTATGAGAATTCTTCTGTCTAGTTTTCTATGAAGAAGTCACGTTTCAAACGAAGGCCACAGAGAGGTCCAAATATCCACTTGGAGATTCAACAAAAAGAGTTTTTCAAAACTGCTCCATCAAGAAGAATATTCAACTCTGAGAGTTGAAGGCAGGTATCACAAAGTAGTTTCCGACAATGCTTCTGTGTAGATTTTATGTGAAGACATTCCCTTTAGTACCACAGGCCTGAAAGCACTCTAAATATAGAATTGCAAATTCCACAAAAAGAGTGTTTAAAACCGCTCGATCCAAAGAAAGGTTAAACTCTGTAAGCTGAATGCGCACATCACAAAGTAGCTTCAGAGAACAATTGTGTCTAGTTTTTCTGTGAAGATATTTTCTCTTCTACATAGGCCTGAAACCGCTCTAAATATACTCTTGGAAATTCTACAAAAAGAATATTTCAACACTCTTCTATCAAAAGGAAGGTTGAAATCTGAGAGTTAAATGCACACATCACAAAGAAGTTTCTGAGAATTCTTCTGTTAAGGGCTTATATGAAGAAATCCCGTTTCCAATGAAGGCCTCAAGAAAGTCCAAATATTTACTTGCAGATTCTACAAAAAGAGTGTTTCATAACTGGTCTATCAAAAGAAAGGTTAAACTCAGTGAGTTGAACCCACACATCACAAAGTAGTGTCTGAGAATCATTCTGTCTAGTTTTCCTACGAAGATATGGCCTTTTCTACCATAGGCCTCAAACGGCGCTAAATATCCACCTGGAAATTCTACCAAAACTGAGTTTCAAAGTGCTCTATTGAAAGGAAGCTTCAACTCTGTGAGTTGAAGGTACACATCACAAAGAAGTTTCTGAAAATTCTTCTGTCTAGTTGTAAATGAAGAAATCACGTTTCAAACGAAGGCCACAAAGAGGTCCAAATATCCACTTGCAGATTCTACAAAAAGAGTGTTTCAAAACGGCTCCATCAAGAGGAATGTTCAACTCTGTGCGTTGAATGCAAATATCACAAATAAGTTTCTGACAATAATTCTGTCTAGTTTTTATGTGAAGATATTTCCTTTCCTACTGTAGGCCTGAAAACGCTCTAAATATACACTTGCAAAATCCACAAAAAGAGTGTTTCAAAACTGCTCTATCAAAGGAATTTTAAACTCTGTAATCTTAATGCAAGCATCACAAAACTGCTTCGGAGAATGAATCTGCCTAGTTTTTCGGTGAAGATATTTCTTGTTCTGCAATAGACCTCACACCGCTGTAAAAATCCACTTGGAAATTCTACAAAAAGAGTATTTCAAAACTCTTCTATCGAAAGGAAGTTTCAACTCCATGAGTTAAATGCACATATCACAAATAATTTTCTGAGGATTCTTCCTTCAAGTTTTATATGAAGAAATCCCGTTTCCAAAGATGGCCTCAGAAAAGTCCCAATATACACTTGCAGATTCTACAAAAAGAGTTTTTCAAAACTGCTCTATCAAAACAAAGGTTAAACTCTGTGAGTTGAAGGCACACATCACAAATTAGTTTCTGAGAATCATTCTGTCTAGTTTTTCTATGAAGATATTGCCTTTTCCACCATAGGCCTCAAACGGCGCTAAATATCCACTTGGAAATTCTACAAAAAGAGAGTTACAAGACTGCTCTATCGAAAGGAATCTTCAACTCTGCGAGTTGCAGGCACACATCCCAAAGAAGTTTATGAGAATTCTTCTGTCTAGTTTTGTTTGAAGAAGTCACTTTTCAAACGAAGGCCACAAAGAGGTCCAAATATCCACTTGTAGATTCAACAAAAAGACTTTTTCAAAACTGCTCCATCAAGAGGAATATTCAACTCTGAGAGTTGAAGGCAGGTATCACAAAGTAGTTTCCGACAATGCTTCTGTCTAGATTTTATGTGAAGACATTCCCTTTTGTACCACAGGCCTGAAATCACTCTAAATATAGAATTGCAAAATACACAAACAGAGTGTTTAAAACCGCTCGATCCAAAGAAAGGTTAAACCCTGTAAGGTGAATGCGCACATCACAAAGTAGCTTCAGAGAACAATTGTGTCTAGTTTTTCTGTGAAGATATTTTCTCTTCTACATAGGCCTGAAACTGCTCTAAATATTCACCTGGAAATTCTATAAAAAGAATATTTCAACACTCTTCTATCAAAAGGAAGGTTGAACTCTGAGAGTTAAATGCACACATCACAAAGAAGTTTCTGAGAATCCCTCTGTCAAGGTTTCTATGAAGGAATCCCGTTTCCAATGAAGGCCTCAAGAAAGTCCAAATATTTACTTGCAGATTCTACAAAAAGAGTGTTTCATAACTGGTCTATCCAAAGAAAGGTTAACCTCAGTGAGTTGAATGCACACATCACAAAGTAGTTTCTGAGAATCATTCTGTCTAGTTTTCCTACGAAGATATGGCCTTTTCTACCATAGGCCTCAAACGGCGCTAAATATCCACCTGGAAATTCTACAAAAACTGAGTTTCAAAGTGCTCTATTGAAAGGAAGCTTCAACTCTGTGAGTTGAAGGTACACATCACAAAGAAGTTTCTGAGAATTCTTCAGTATAGTTGTAAATGAAGAAATCACGTTTCAAACGAAGGCCACAAAGAGGTCCAAATATACACTTGCAGATTCTACAAAAAGAGTGTTTCAAAAGTGCTCCATCAAGAGGAATGTTCAACTCTGTGCGTTGAATGCAAATATCACAAATAAGTTTCTGACAATACTTCTGTCTAGTTTTTATGTGAAGATATTTCCTTTCCTACTGTAGGCCTCAAAACGCTCTAAATATACACTTGCAAATTCCACAAAAAGAGTGTTTCAAAACTGCTCTATCAAAGGAACTTTAAACTCTGTAAGCCTAATGCAAGCATCACAAAACAGCTTCGGAGAATGAATCTGCCTAGTTTTTCTGTGAAGATATTTCTTTTTCTGCCATAGACCTCACACCGCTGTAAAAATCCACTTGGAAATTCTACAAAAAGAGTATTTCAAAACTCTTCTATCGAAAGGAAGTTTCAACTCCATGAGTTAAATGCACATATCACAAATAATTTTCTGAGGATTCTTCTTTCAAGTTTTATATGAAGAAATCCAGTTTCCAAAGATGGCCTCAGAAAAGTCCCAATATACACTTGCAGATTCTACAAAAAGAGATTTTCAAAACTGCTCTATCAAAAGAAAGTTTAAACTTTGTGAGTTGAAGGCACACATCACAAAGTAGTTTATGAGAATTCTTCTGTCTAGTTTTCTATGAAGAAGTCACGTTTCAAACGAAGGCCACAAAGAGGTCCAAATATCCACTTGGAGATTCAACAAAAAGAGTTTTTCAAAAATGGTCCATCAAGAGGAATATTCAACTCTGAGAGTTGAAGGCAGGTATCCCAAAGTAGTTCCCGACAATGCTTCTGTATAGATTTTATGTGAAGACATTCCCTTTAGTACCACAGGCCTGAAAGCACTCTAAATATAGAATTGCAAATTCCACAAAAAGAGTGTTTAAAACCGCTCGATCCAAAGAAAGGTTAAACTCTGTAAGCTGAATGCGCACATCACAAAGTAGCTTCAGAGAACAATTGTGTCTAGTTTTTCTGTGAAGATATTTTCTCTTCTACATAGGCCTGAAACCGCTCTAAATATACTCTTGGAAATTCTACAAAAAGAATATTTCAACACTCTTCTATCAAAAGGAAGGTTGAACTCTGAGAGTAAAATGCACACATCACAAAGAAGTTTCTGAGAATTCTTCTGTCAAGGTTTCTATGAAGAAATCCCGTTTCCAATGAAGGCCTCAAAAAAGTCCAAATATTTACTTGCAAATTCTACAAAAAGAGTGTTTCATAACTGGTCTAGTAAAAGAAAGGTTAAACTCAGTGAGTTGAACCCACACATCACAAAGTAGTTTCTGAGAATCATTCTGTCTAGTTCTCCTACGAAGATATAGCCTTTTCTACCATAGGCCTAAAACGGCGCTAAATATCCACCTGGAAATTCTACAAAAACTGAGTTTCAAAAGTGCTCTATTGAAAGGAAGCTTCACCACTGTGAGTTGAAGGTACACATCACAAAGAAGTTTCTGAGAATACTTCTGTCTACTTGTAAATGAAGAAATCACGTTTCAAACGAAGGCCACAAAGAGGTCCAAATATCCACTTGCAGATTCTACAAAAAGAGTGTTTCAAACTGCTCCCCAAGAGGATGTTCAACTCTGTGCGTTGAATGCAAATATCACAAATAAGTTTC
>NW_009646198.1:29272-34453 GCF_000001405.40 Homo sapiens
ATAGGCCTGAACCCGCTCTAAATATTCACTGGAAATTCTACAAAAAGAATATTTCAACACTCTTCTATCAAAAGAAAGGTTGAACTCTGAGAGTTAAATGCACACATCACAAAGAAGTTTCTGAGAATTCTTCTGTCAAGGTTTATATGAAGAAATCCCGTTTCCAATGAAGGCCTCAAAAAAGTCCAAATATTTACTTGCAGATTCTACACAAAGAATGTTTCATAACTGGTCTATCAAAAGAAAGGTTAAACTCAGTGAGTTGAACCCACACATCACAAAGTAGTTTCTGAGAATCATTCTGTCTAGTTTTCCTATGAAGATATTGCCTTTTCTACCATAGGCCTCAAACAGCGCTAAATATCCACCTGGAAATTCTACAAAAACTGAGTTTCAAAATTGCTCTATTGAAAGGAAGCTTCAAGTCTGTGAGTTGAATGTACACATCACAAAGTAGTTTCTGAGAATTCTTCTGTCTAGTTTTAAATGAATAAATCACGTTTCAAACGAAGGCCACAAAGAGGTCCAAATATTCACTTGTAGATTCTACAAAAAGAGTGTTTCAAAACTGCTCCATCACGAGGAATGTTCAACTCTGTGCGTTGAATGCAAATATCACAAATAAGTTTCTGACAATACTTCTGTCTATTTTTTATGTGAAGATATTTCCTTTCCTACTGTAGGCCTCAAAACGCTCTAAATATACACTTGCAAATTCCACAAAAGGGTGTTTCAAAACTGCTCTATCAAAGGAAGCTTAAACTCTGTAAGCTTAATGCAAGCATCACAAAACAGCTTCGGAGAATGAATCTGCCTAGTTTTTCTGTGAAGATATTTCTTTTTCTGCCATAGACCTCACACCGCTGTAAAAATCCACATGGAAATACTACAAAAAGAGTATTTCAAAACTCTTCTATCGAAAGGAAGTTTCAACTCCATGAGTTAAATGCACATATCACAAATAATTTTCTGAGGATTCTTCTTTCAAGTTTTATATGAAGAAATCCCGTTTCCAAAGATGGCCTCAGAAAAGTCCCAATATACACTTGCAGATTCTACAAAAAGAGTTTTTCAAAACTGCTCTATCAAAAGAAAGGTTAAACTCAGTGAGTTGAAGGCACACATCACAAAGTAGTTTCTGAGAATCATTCTGTCTAGTTTTTCTATGAAGATATTGCCTTTTCCACCATAGGCCCCAAACGGCACTAAATATCCACTTGGAAATTCTTCAAAAAGAGAGTTACAAGACTGCTCTATCGAAAGGAAGCTTCAACTCTGCGAGTTGAAAGCACACATCACAAAGAAGTTTATGGGAATTCTTCTGTCTAGTTTTGTATGAAGAAGTCACGTTTCAAACGAAGGCCACAAAGAGGTCCAAATATCCACTTGGAGATTCAACAAAAAGAGTTTTTCAAAACTGCTCCATCAAGAGGAATATTCAACTCTGAGAGTTGAAGGCAGGTATCCCAAAGTAGTTCCCGACAATGCTTCTGTCTAGATTTTATGTGAAGACATTCCCTTTTGTACCACAGGCCTGAAAGCACTCTAAATATAGAATTGCAAATTCCACAAAAAGAGTGTTTAAAACCGCTCTATCCAAAGAAAGGTTAAACTCTGTAAGCTGAATGCGCACATCACAAAGTAGCTTCAGAGAACAATTGTGTCTAGTTTTTCTGTGAAGATATTTTCTCTTCTACATAGGCCTGAAACCGCTCTAAATATTCACTTGGAAATTCTACAAAAAGAATATTTCAACACTCTTCTATCAAAAGGAAGGTTGAACTCTGAGAGTTAAATGCACACATCACAAAGAAGTTTCTGAGAATTCTTCTGTCAAGGTTTCTATGAAGAAATCCCGTTTCCAATGAAGGCCTCAAAAAAGTCCAAATATTTACTTGCAGATTCTACACAAAGAGTGTTTCATAACTGGTCTATCAAAAGAAAGGTTAAACTCAGTGAGTTGAACCCACACATCACAAAGTAGTTTCTGAGAATCATTCTGTCTAGTTTTCCTATGAAGATATTGCCTTTTCTACCATAGGCCTCAAACAGCGCTAAATATCCACCTGGAAATTCTACAAAAACTGAGTTTCAAAAGTGCTCTATTGAAAGGAAGCTTCAACTCTGTGAGTTGAAGGTACACATCACAAAGAAGTTTCTGAGAATTCTTCTGTCTAGTTGTAAATGAAAAAATCACGTTTCAAACGAAGGCCACAAAGAGGTCCAAATATTCACTTGCAGATTCTACAAAAAGAGTGTTTCAAAACTGCTCCATCACGAGGAATGTTCAACTCTGTGCGTTGAATGCAAATATCACAAATAAGTTTCTGACAATACTTCTGTCTAGTTTTTATGTGAAGATATTTCCTTTCCTACTGTAGGCCTCAAAACGCTCTAAATATACACTTGCAAATTCCACAAAAAGAGTGTCTCAAAACTGCTCTATCAAAGGAAGCTTAAACTCTGTAAGCTTAATGCAAGCATCGCAAAACAGCTTCGGAGAATGAATCTGCCTAGTTTTTCTGTGAAGATATTTCTTTTTCTGCCATAGACCTCACACCGCTGTAAAAATCCACTTGGAAATTCTACAAAAAGAGTATTTCAAAACTCTTCTATCGAAAGGAAGTTTCAACTCCATGAGTTAAATGCACATATCACAAATAATTTTCTGAGGATTCTTCTTTCAAGTTTTATAGGAAGAAATCCCGTTTCCAAAGATGGCCTCAGAAAAGTCCCAATATACACTTGCAGATTCTACAAAAAGAGTTTTTCAAAACTGCTCTATCAAAAGAAAGGTTAAACTCTGTGAGTTGAAGGCACACATCACAAAGTAGTTTCTGAGAATCATTCTGTCTAGTTTTTCTATGAAGATATTGCCTTTTCCACCATAGGGCCTCAAACGGCGCTAAATATCCACTTGGAAATTCTACAAACAGAGAGTTACAAGACTGCTCTATCGAAAGGAAGCTTCAACTCTGCGAGTTGCAAGCACACATCCCAAAGAAGTTTATGAGATTCTTCTGTCTAGTTTTGTATGAAGAAGTCACGTTTCAAACGAAGGCCACAAAGAGGTCCAAATATCCACTTGGAGATTCAACAAAAAGAGTTTTTCAAAACTGCTCCATCAAGAGGAATATTCAACTCTGAGAGTTGAAGGCAGGTATCACACAGTAGTTTCCGACAATACTTCTGTCTAGATTTTATGTGAAGACATTCCCTTTTGTACCACAGGCCTGAAAGCACTCTAAATATAGAATTGCAAATTCCACAAAAAGAGTGTTTAAAACCGCTGGATCCAAAGAAAGGTTAAACTCTGTAAGCTGAATGCGCACATCACAAAGTAGCTTCAGAGAACAATTGTGTCTAGTTTTTCTGTGAAGATATTTTCTCTTCTACATAGGCCTGAAACCGCTCTAAATATTCACTTGGAAATTCTACAAAACGAATATTTCAACACTCTTCTATCAAAAGGAAGGTTGAACTCTGAGAGTTAAATGCACACATCACAAAGAAGTTTCTGAGAATTCTTCTGTCAAGGTTTCTATGAAGAAATCCCGTTTCCAATGAAGGCCTCAAAAAAGTCCAAATATTTACTTGCAGATTCTACAAAAAGAGTGTTTCATAACTGGTCTATCAACAGAAAAGGTTAAACTCAGTGAGTTGAACCCACACATCACAAAAGTAGTTTCTGAGAATCATTCTGTCTAGTTTTCCTACGAAGATATTTGCCTTTTCTACCCATAGGCCTCAAACGGCGCTAAATATCCACCCTGGGAAATTCTACAAAAACTGAGTTTCAAAAGTGCTCTATTGAAAGGAAGCTTCAACTCTGTGAGTTGAAGGTAAATATCACAAAGAAGTTTCTGAGAATTCTTCTGTCTAGTTTCTATGAAGAAATCCCGTTTCCAATGAAGGCCTCAAAGAGGTCCAAATATTCACTTGCAGATTCTACAAAAAGAGTGTTTCAAAACTGCTCCATCAAGAGGAATGTTCAACTCTGTGCGTTGCATGCAAATATCACAAATAAGTTTCTGAAAATACTTCTGTCTAGTTTTTATGTGAAGATATTTCCTTTCCTACTGTAGGCCTCAAAACGCTCTAAATATACAGTTGCAAATTCCACAAAAAGAGTGTTTCAAAACTGCTCTATCAAAGAAAGTTTAAACTCTGTAAGCCTAAGGCAAGCATCACAAAACAGCTTCGGAGAATGAATCTGCCTAGTTTTTCTGTGAAGATATTTCTTTTTCTGCCATAGACCTCACACCGCTGTAAAAATCCACTTGGAAATTCTACAAAAAGAGTATTTCAAAACTCTTCTATCGAAAGGAAGTTTCAACTCCATGAGTTAAATGCACATATCACAAATAATTTTCTGAGGATTCTTCTTTCAAGTTTTATAGGAAGAAATCCCGTTTCCAAAGATGGCCTCAGAAAAGTCCCAATATACACTTGCAGTTCTACAAAAAGAGTTTTTCAAAACTGCTCTATCAAAAGAAAGGTTAAACTCTGTGAGTTGAAGGCACACATCACAAAGTAGTTTCTGAGAATCATTCTGTCTAGTTTTTCTATGAAGATATTGCCTTTTCCACCATAGGCCTCAAACGGCGCTAAATATCCACTTGGAAATTCTACAAAAAGAGAGTTACAAGACTGCTCTATCGAAAGGAAGCTTCAACTCTGCGAGTTGAAAGCACACATCACAAAGAAGTTTATGAGAATTCTTCTGTCTAGTTTTGTATGAAGAAGTCACGTTTCAAACGAAGGCCACAAAGAGGTCCAAATATCCACTTGGAGATTCAACAAAAAGAGTTTTTCAAAACTGCTCCATCAAGAGGAATATTCAACTCTGAGAGTTGAAGGCAGGTATCACAAAGTAGTTTCCGACAATGCTTCTGTCTAGATTTTATGTGAAGACATTCCCTTTTGTACCACAGGCCTGAAAGCACTCTAAATATAGAATTGCAAATTCCACAAAAAGAGTGTTTAAAACCGCTCGATCCAAAGAAAGGTTAAACTCTGTAAGCTGAATGCGCACATCACAAAGAAGCTTCAGAGAACAATTGTGTCTAGTTTTTCTGTGAAGATATTTTCTCTTCTACATAGGCCTGAAACCGCTCTAAATATTCACTTGGGAATTCTACAAAAAGAATATTTCAACACTCTTCTATCAAAAGGAAGGTT
>NW_009646198.1:35012-43347 GCF_000001405.40 Homo sapiens
ATCCCGTTTCCAAGATGGCCTCAGAAAAGTCCCAATATACACTTGCAGATTCTACAAAAAGAGTTTTTCAAAACTGCTCTATCAAAAGAAAGGTTAAACTCTGTGAGTTGAAGGCACACATCACAAAGTAGTTTCTGAGAATCATTCTGTCTAGTTTTTCTATGAAGATATTGCCTTTTCCACCATAGGCCTCAAACGGCGCTAAATATCCACTTGGAAATTCTACAAACAGAGAGTTACAAGACTGCTCTATCGAAAGGAAGCTTCAACTCTGCGAGTTGCAAGCACACATCCCAAAGAAGTTTATGAGAATTCTTCTGTCTAGTTTTGTATGAAGAAGTCACGTTTCAAACGAAGGCCACAAAGAGGTCCAAATATCCACTTGGAGATTCAACAAAAAGAGTTTTTCAAAACTGCTCCATCAAGAGGAATATTCAACTCTGAGAGTTGAAGGCAGGTATCACACAGTAGTTTCCGACAATACTTCTGTCTAGATTTTATGTGAAGACATTCCCTTTTGTACCACAGGCCTGAAAGCACTCTAAATATAGAATTGCAAATTCCACAAAAAGAGTGTTTAAAACCGCTCGATCCAAAGAAAGGTTAAACTCTGTAAGCTGAATGCGCACATCACAAAGTAGCTTCAGAGAACAATTGTGTCTAGTTTTTCTGTGAAGATATTTTCTCTTCTACATAGGCCTGAAACCGCTCTAAATATTCACTTGGAAATTCTACAAAACGAATATTTCAACACTCTTCTATCAAAAGGAAGGTTGAACTCTGAGAGTTAAATGCACACATCACAAAGAAGTTTCTGAGAATTCTTCTGTCAAGGTTTCTATGAAGAAATCCCGTTTCCAATGAAGGCCTCAAAAAAGTCCAAATATTTACTTGCAGATTCTACAAAAAGAGTGTTTCATAACTGGTCTATCAACAGAAAGGTTAAACTCAGTGAGTTGAACCCACACATCACAAAGTAGTTTCTGAGAATCATTCTGTCTAGTTTTCCTACGAAGATATTGCCTTTTCTACCATAGGCCTCAAACGGCGCTAAATATCCACCTGGAAATTCTACAAAAACTGAGTTTCAAAAGTGCTCTATTGAAAGGAAGCTTCAACTCTGTGAGTTGAAGGTGCACATCACAAAGAAGTTTCTGAGAATTCTTCTGTCAAGGTTTCTATGAAGAAATCCCGTTTCCAATGAAGGCCTCAAAAAAGTCCAAATATTTACTTGCAGATTCTACAAAAAGAGTGTTTCATAACTGGTCTATCAAAAGAAAGGTTAAACTCAGTGAGTTGAACCCACACATCACAAAGTAGTTTCTGAGAATCATTCTGTCTAGTTTTCCTACGAAGATATTGCCTTTTCTACCATAGGCCTCAAACGGCGCTAAATATCCACCTGGAAATTCTACAAAAACTGAGTTTCAAAAGTGCTCTATTGAAAGGAAGCTTCAACTCTGTGAGTTGAAGGTACACATCACAAAGAAGTTTCTGAGAATTCTTCTGTCTAGTTGTAAATGAAGAAATCACGTTTCAAAGGACGGCCACTAAGCGGTCCAAATATCCACTTGCAGATTCTACAAAAAGAGTGTTTCAAAACTACTCCATCAAGAGGAATGTTCAACTCTGTGCGTTCCATGCAAATATCACAAATAAGTTTCTGAAAATACTTCTGTCTAGTTTTTATGTGAAGATATTTCCTTTCCTACTGTAGGCCTCAAAACGCTCTAAATATACAGTTGCAAATTCCACAAAAAGAGTGTTTCAAAACTGCTCTATCAAAGGAAGTTTAAACTCTGTAAGCCTAATGCAAGCATCACAAAACAGCTTCGGAGAATGAATCTGCCTAGTTTTTCTGTGAAGATATTTCTTTTTCTGCCATAGACCTCACACCGCTGTAAAAATCCACTTGGAAATTCTACAAAAAGAGTATTTCAAAACTCTTCTATCGAAAGGAAGTTTCAACTCCATGAGTTAAATGCACATATCACAAATAATTTTCTGAGGATTCTTCTTTCAAGTTTTATAGGAAGAAATCCCGTTTCCAAAGATGGCCTCAGAAAAGTCCCAATATACACTTGCAGTTCTACAAAAAGAGTGTTTCATAACTGCTCTATCAAAAGAAAGGTTAAACTCTGTGAGTTGAACGCACACATCACAAAGTAGTTTCTGAGAATCATTCTGTCTAGTTTTTCTATGAAGATATTGCCTTTTCCACCATAGGCCTCAAACGGCGCTAAATATCCACTTGGAAATTCTACAAAAAGAGAGTTACAAGAGTGCTCTATCGAAAGGAAGCTTCAACTCTGCGAGTTGAAAGCACACATCACAAAGAAGTTTATGAGAATTCTCCTTTCTAGTTTTGTATGAAGAAATCACGTTTCAAACGAAGGCCACAAAGAGGTCCAAATATCCACTTGGAGATTCAACAAAAAGAGTTTTTCAAAACTGCTCCATCAAGAAGAATATTCAACTCTGAGAGTTGAAGGCAGGTATCACAAAGTAGTTTCCGACAATGCTTCTGTCTAGATTTTATGTGAAGACATTCCCTTTTGTACCACAGGCCTGAAAGCACTCTAAATATAGAATTGCAAATTCCACAAAAAGAGTGTTTAAAACCGCTCGATCCAAAGAAAGGTTAAACTCTGTAAGCTGAATGCGCACATCACAAAGTAGCTTCAGAGAACAATTGTGTCTAGTTTTTCTGTGAAGATATTTTCTCTTCTACATAGGCCTGAAACCGCTCTAAATATTCACTTGGAAATTCTACAAATAGAATATTTCAACACTCTTCTACCAAAAGGAAGGTTGAACTCTGAGAGTTAAATGCACACATCACAAAGAAGTTCCTGAGAATTCTTCTGTCAAGGTTTCTATGAAGAAATCCCGTTTCCAATGAAGGCCTCAAGAAAGTCCAAATATTTACTTGCAGATTCTATAAAAAGAGTGTTTCATAACTGGTCTATCAACAGAAAGGTTAAACTCAGTGAGTTGAACCCACACATCACAAAGTAGTTTCGGAGAATCATTCTGTCTAGTTTTCCTACGAAGATATTGCCTTTTCTACCATAGGCCTCAAACGGCGCTAAATATCCACCTGGAAATTCTACAAAAACTGAGTTTCAAAAGTGCTCTATTGAAAGGAAGCTTCAACTGTGTGAGTTGAAAGTACACATCACAAAGAAGTTTCTGAGAATTCTTCTGTCTAGTTGTAAATGAAGAAATCACGTTTCAAACGAAGGCCACAAAGAGGTCCAAATATCCACTTGCAGATTCTACAAAAAGAGTGTTTCAAAACGGCTCCATCAAGAGGAATGTTCAACTCTGTGCTTTGAATGCAAATATCGCAAATAAGTTTCTGACAATACTTCTGTCTAGTTTTTATGTGAAGATATTTCCTTTCCTACTGTAGGCCTCAAAACGCTCTAAATATACACTTGCAAATTCCACAAAAAAGTGTTTCAAAAATGGACGCGAGTGAACGCTATCTGATTTGGATAAAGGAGACATTCTTGACATCTTCACAAGATCTCTAAAGAAATCTCCTCCTCCATCCACCCCACAACTTATGCCAAGATCATTATTTGTAGCTACTGAGGTTGCCAATATAAGTAGCTCCAAGCCCTGAAGTGTGAATTTAGTGAAGAGGAGAAGTAGGAAATACAGAATATGTAATTTCCAGGGAAGAGAGGATTTCGGTAACCTATTTAGTTTAATCCCTTTACAGATAGAACATAAAAAAGACCAAATCTTTGAATTCATTAACAAATGGTGGGCTCTGTTTCTTAAGGATTTGAATCTGCATGAAGAAGCAAAGCCATTTGTCTAGCTTATCGAAAAGTTTTTACAGGAGAAAGGAGAGGGATTAGAACTGGGGGTCTCTGTCAAGGAGAGGTCAGAAAGTACCAGGTGGCTTACTGCTCTCTCACCCCTTCAATTGACTCATTATAGCTGTTATCTCCCAGCAAATGTCAGTGTTTTATTTCCTCCATGTGACATTTTTCATGAGATACAACTTTTCTCTGCCTCACATAGCAATTGGCATGCCCTTGAATCCAGAGAACTAGAGCAAAACGGATTGAGTTTGGCTAGGCAGGTCCAATCTTTAACCTGCTAAGCTACATGGAGCCAAGGATTGGGTCTTAACGGATTGATGAACAGGCTGATAATTTAGATGTGAAGGACCAGAGAGGTCTGTCACATCCCATTCTTCAAGGAAGAGATGTAAGTCAAATGAGTCAAACCAGGGAGCCTACTTGTACAACCAGGTCTGAGAATGTCATACAGGCCTAACTATGGTATAGAGCTCAAGTTCTGAAACAGGAAAATAACTGAAGCAAAGCTGGTCAGAGATGAAAATATAAAGCATCTATGCAAATTTAATTGCAGAGTCCACTGCTTTTCTTTAATTTGGCAGCAGACAATTGCATCTGACTGGCTTGAAAGAGACACTGTTTTCTAAGTCCCCTAAACCCCCATCACAAAGGCCAGTAGAAATTGTCAAATCCATGTTCTATGCAAAGTTAAAGTTCAATTTATTACCTTAAATTCTATTTTCTTTTTCCATTAAGTGCATATCACCCAGGCTGCTGGTTGTGAACAACAGAAGCTGACATTGGCTGATTAATCAAAAAGAAAAAACATATGATAATCCATAGAAGTGTTGGAGAACAAGGCCCAAGCATGAGCTTGGATATAATGCAAAAAAAACAAGATACAGCTGACTTGTTAAAGAAACAAACACCACTTCCATGGCGCCCATCAAAGACTAGGGAACCCTGTAGCCATTGCCACCACTTCATCAGCAGGTAGGTGGTTCCACCTAGAGCCTGTTTGCTCATATTGCTCTCCTATGTATCAGAGTCTTTCATGGGCTTATGTGATAACAGAATCCTCAGACACATGCTCACATTTAGCTGCAAGAAAAGCTATAAACTTAAGTTTTGACTCTACAGCAGAAATGTGGGACTCAAAAATGGAAACTTCTCCAAATATAGAAAAACTATTCAAAAGGTAATGGGCAACTTTTGGCAGAGGTGCCAAAATAATTCAGTGGGGGAAAATACTCTTCAACAAATGGTATTGAATAACTGGATATCCACATGTAAAAGAATAAGGTTGAAGCCATTTCTTATACCACACACTAAAATTAACTCCAAATGGATCACAAACCAAATGTAAGAGCTAAAACTATAAATTCTTAGAAGAAAACATAGGAGTGCATCTATGTGATTTGGGGTTAAGTAAAGCCTTCTTAGATATGGGACCAAAAGCACAAGCAACCACCAACAAAACAAAACAAAAAGATAAATAGGACTTCATCAAAATTCAAAACTTTTATGCTTCAAATGAGACTATCAAAGAAGTGAAAGACCACACACAAAATGGGAAAAAATATTTGCAAATTTGTTTTGATTGCCTCCTGTTCAGCTCATTGGTGAAAGTAGGGATTCCCACCCCAGAGTAATGGGGATGGCCCAACTTCCGCCACCAGAAAGAGGAGATCGACAGCAGTTTGTTAGTCACATGCACTCATATCTCAGGGGAGGAGGACACCACACCACACAGGGCCACACAGAGGTTTACTCAGAAACAGAGTGAATGACAGGGACTGTGGGAAGCTGACTTTGTAGTATGAAGAGGATGCAACGTCCCCTGGTTCCCATGAGAGGATGTGATTGGCTTATTGGAAAAATCCCATGGACTGGCAAGAAATTGAAACCTGCCACTCATGAATAAGCAGGAACCACATCTGGTCCATTTCATAAGCAGGGCTATTTCTAGGGGACCTTATCTATGGCAGCAGAATGGGGAGGAGAACCTGCAGTTACGCTATTCGAGGCCCTTGCGATTTTTCCAAGTGTGAAGGCAGCACATAATATTGAACCTTAATTTCACATATTATGCCACCAAATCTTGTTAGGCATATGTATCCTGCATCTATAAAAAAGACTTACAATTCAACAATAAAAATACATATAATTCAATTTTAAAACGGATAAAGGCTTGATGTAGTCCCACTTATTTATTTTTGCTTTTCTGACCTGAGCTTTTGGTATAAAATCTAAAACATCACTGCCAAGGCCAATGTCTAGGAGCTTTTCTCCTATAGTCTGTCTCTTCTAGGAGTTTCATAGTTTCAAATGTAATAAATAGCCTAAATATGACTGATGTTCAGTGGTTTGAATATTCTCAAATATCAATTTTTTTATTTAGGTCTTTTATCCATTTTGAGTTGATTTTTGCATATGGTGTAAGATGAGGATTCCATTTTTTTCTTTTCTTTTCTTTTTTTTTTTTTTTTTTTGATAGGGTCTCACTCTGTCACCCAAGCTGGAGTGTAGCACAGTGGTGCAATCACAGCTCACTACAGCCTTGAATTCCTGGGCTTAAGCGATTCTTTGGTCTCAGCCTGCCAAGTAGCTGGAACTAAGGAACGTGCTACAATGCCCAGCTAATTTTTTTTTTTTATAGATGGTGTCTCACTATGTCACCTAGTCTGTTCTTAAACCCCTGGGCTCAAGCAATTCTCCCACCTCAGCCTCCCAAAGTCTGGGATTACAGGTGTGAGTAACCATGCCCAGCCCCCAATTTTATTATTTTGCATGTGGAAATTCAACGTTCCCAGCACCATTTATTGGAAGAAATTGTCCTTTTCCCCATTGTTCTTTTTTGGTGTCTTTGTCAAAAATTAGTTGACCACATGTATTTGGGTTTGCTGCTGGGCTCTCTATTCTGTTCCACTGGTCTATGGGTCTGTTTTTATGTCAGTACCATAAAACTGTTGTGATGAGCCATAGCTTTGTAAAATATTTTAAATCAGGAAGTGTGGTGCCTCCAGTGTTTTCTTTCTCAAAATTTTTTTGGCCATTCAGGGTCTTTTACATTTCCATATAAAATTTATGATTTTTTTTTCTATTTCTGTGAAGAATGCCATTAGGATTTGGATAAGGCTTGCATTAAATCTGTAGATTACTTTGGGTAATATGGTCATTTTAATCATATTAATTCTTCTGCTCCATGAGCACAGGACATCTTTGTATTTATTTGTGTCTTCATCAATTTCTTTCAGTGCTTTAGAGTTTTCAATGTATAGATATCCTAATTCCTTGCTTAGATTTATTCCTAGGAATTTTTTATGCTATCATAAGTGGAATTGCTTTCCTGATGTCTTTTTCAGTTAGATCATTATTCATATATAAAAATGCTACTGATTTTGCTATATTCATTTTGCATCTTGCATTTTGTATCTTTACTGAATTTATTATTTTTAACACTGTTGAGAGTTTTTATCAAGAAAGAATTTTGGACTTTGTCAAAAGCTTTTTCAGTGTCAGTTGAGGTGATCATGTGGTTTTTACCTTTCATTCTGTAAATATGATGTATCACATTGACTGATATGTGTATGTTCAACCAGACTTGTATGAGCTTCTACATAATAAAAGAAACAACCAACAAAACGAAATGGCAGCTTATGGATTGGAAAAAAATATTTGCAAACCATAAATCTGATAAGGAATTAATAATCAAAATTTATAAAGAACTCATATAGTCAATACTGGAAAAAAACAAATAAGCTGATTTTAAAATGGGCAAAGGATCTGAATAGACATTTCCCCAGAGAAGACATAAAAATGGCCAAGAGGTATATGAAAAGGTGCTTAACATCACTAATCATTGGGGAATGCAAATCAAAATCACTATGAGATACCACATTACACCTGTTATGATGGTTATTGTCAAAAAGTCAAAAGATAACAAATGTTGGTGAGGTAAAGAGAAAAGGGAATTCTTACACACTGTCAGTAGGAATGTAGCTTGGTACAGCCATTATGAGAAACAATATGGAGGCAACTAAAGGAATTAAAATTAGAACTATCATCAATCCCCCTTATGGGAATATACCCAAAGCAAGTGAAATCACCACTTCATAAAGATGTCTGCACTCTCATATTTACTGCATTACTGATAACAGCCAAGATATGGAAACATTCTACATGGCCATCAATGGACAAATGTTTAAACTGTAGCAAATATATACAATGGAATATTATTCAGCCCTAAAAAGAGAATGATATATTGTCATTCATCACAACATGGATGAGCTTAAAAGAAATTATGCTAAGTGAAATAAACCAAACACAGGAAGAAAAATAATTGCATGATCTCATGTAGATGTGAAATATTTTTTAAAAATTCAAATATACAGAAATAGAAAATGAAACAGTGGTTGCCAAGGACATGTAGTGGGTAAGGAAATGGGAGATGTAGGTCAGAAAATACGAAATAGGGGGGTGGAGCCAAGATGGCCGAATAGGAACAGCTCCAGTCT
>NW_019805491.1:0-105527 GCF_000001405.40 Homo sapiens
CTCATAGACAGTGTAAAATTCCTAAGTCTTGATTGCCATATCATTTTATTTTTGCCCCTTTACTTTTGTTCTTACCATACCTTAAAGATTCACGTGAATCCCATACACAACACTTCTGATATTTCTTCCTTTCTTTATTTTTATTTTGGAGATAGTTGTTAACAAAAGGGAAACAAATACAAGTGTTTCTCTTTTGTTTTCCTAAAAAGGAAAACAACAACAAAAAAATAAAGTTAGGGGAATGCTGCTACAAGCTGTGAAAACCAAGAGGTATCTTAGTTTAAAAATGATCTATTGGCCGTGCGTGGTGGCTCACGCCTGTAATCCCAGCACTTTGGGAGGCGGAGGAGGGCGGATCACGAGGTCAGGAGATCGAGACCATCTGGCTAACATGGTGAATCCCCGTCTCTACTAAAAAAATAGAAAAAATTTAGCCAGGCGTGGTGGCGGGCACCTGTAGTCCCAGCTGCTCGGGAGGCTGAGGCAGGAGAATGGCGTGAACCTGGGAGGTGGAGCTTGCAGTGAGCCAAGATGGCACCACTGCATTCCAGCCTGGGTGACAGAGCGAGACTCCGTCTCAAATAATAATAATAACAAAAAAGATCTATTAAAAGATGCTATAACTATCTTTTAAAAACTTGTTTCTTAGATTAAAAATTGAAGTCTTGATAGGTTAAATGTCATGTTCAAGTTTACATGGCAAAGTAGGACCCAAATGTGACTTAGAATTCGGGGTTCTTAATAATATTCTGCACTCATCTCGACAAAATAGTGAAGTAACATATTAAACAGCGGTTATGGGAAGAAGTGTGGCTAAAGCCTTTATGGTTCACAACAGTCAATGAAATTCCAGTAGCATTGTTCCAAATTGGACAAATACCATATGAATCTGCCTGCACTTGATAAATATTACCATTTTGACATGATTCCTTTAATGGTAGTTTCACAAGCTATTAATGGTTGTGGTTGAAAGAACATACCTCACACAGTCTGATGTGTCATAATTCATGCTATAGTCACTGTTTTTTTCTTCTAGGTTGATGGCCTCTTTTTGACTGTAAGTATAGCCTGTCTCCCTATTCTAACCTTACATTTAGTATATCACACTGCATGATATGATTACACAACACTGAAAGCCTGCAGTTATAAATGCCACTTCTATAATTATATAACCTGTGCTATAGCTTTGCTATATACAGAAAAGATGCAGAAGCAGAAACAGTTGAACCTTTGTAAGACATGCAGTGAATGTTCTTTTCTAGTATTATTGATTTGACATAAAACGTGGAAATTTATGAAACTGGAGTTGCAAAATCAAAACTGGAAGGCAGAAGTTTGTCAAATATGTAATTTTCATGAAAATGTTAATTATCTCCTAAGAATATAATGGATTAAAATAATTACATTCTGGTCTGACAAGGACTTAACCCAACTCCAGAGTGAATCCATAATTGTAAATTTGTTATTTGGCATACAGATGATGAGTTATTTACATTATACATAACATGCTAACAATGATATCTACCACTTAAATCATACTAAAGTACAGCTTTATCAGTTTTCATTCTCAAAACCATACACAGTAATAACAAATTCATATTTATGTGCTGAAGATTAGTGCCATCCCACCTCTCTTGAAAAATTATTCTTTTAATATTTTTGTTAGTGTTTGTTCACATGTATACTTTTTTATTATTTAGTGATATTAAACATCATTCGTGTTATGTTTTTAACAAAAACTTAACAAACCTAAATTTCTCTCTGATGGCTACTCTATAATTTACTAAATCATTTCCCATTAATTATATATTTATTTAATCTTCAGTTTTTTACTGATATAAATAATTCTGTACTGAATATTTTTATTATTAAAAGTGGCCTGTTTATGTAAATTAATAATTACTTATGATGTATTTTCAGAAAGCAAATTGCTGAGTAAAAGAACATGACATTTTTAGTACCTTTTGATTCAAGTTTAGATATTGATTTTCTCTTAGTTTTTGACAAAAGTTTCACTCACGTTCTGTTATTCACGATTAAAGATTAGTGTAACATTAAATTTTAAGAAGAAAAAATATGAGCATTTTCTGTTTATACTCTAAGATTGGAAACAATATTTATGGATTATAAGTGTAACTGTAGGAATAGTAACTTTAGGATTAGAACACAGAACACAATATCAGCTTATCCACATGTAAGTAGTTTTATTTTTTCTTAAAGTGTTTATAAGCAATACATATTTTATATCACAGGAATCCTCATTGTAGAATGTCATTAAAAAGTTATTATAAATATACTATAAAATATTCAGAAAAAATGACCAAGAAATCACAGACTTGTTAAATATTAGAACTAATTATCAAGATCTTAAAAGCAAATGAAAATTTCAGTGAATTTATGAAATTAAGCAGTTTAGTACCTGATCATTCCACTGCTGGAAAAAACAGGAAGAAAATTAATCAACTTTTGTATGTTCTAGGGAAACCAGGATGTATTTTCACAGTGTTTTACATGATTCTAGAATGTAAATATAGGGATCTTTTTTATGGGTAATAAAGATTGTTGATGTTTTTTATTCTTTTTCCCCAATTTTAAAGGCTGATCATCAAAGCAGGTTATATAAATTAACATAAAAATCACCATGGGAACTAGTGATACTGTGTGGCTATTTATATATGTCTCTAATTTTACTTGGATAATTTCCCTAACACTTTTTTTTTCTACTGAATAAATAGCAAGCCCCTTCCAGAGCCTTAAACATTAGACAAGCCTTAAAACAATTGGTGGATTTTCATATTTAACATCAGTAAGATTGCCAATCTATATTTTTTTATTTAAATAGATAAATCCTGAGCTAATTACTATTTATTTACATGTGTATATTTTGTCCTATTTCAAAGAAGATTCTGAGTGATTCCCTGTCACTTATTGGCAAAGCCAAGAAAAGTTTTCTAGCTTACCTGGAATATTCAAATTCTCTCAGAGGAAATAAAAATAACAAGTCTTAAGATCATGATTAATGGTGAGAATATAAGGATGCCTCTAAATTGAACTAACTTCCTCTTTGCTTGTTCACTGCTTTTTTCTTAGCATTTACCAGTACCAGCTTTTAAAAATCAATTGTACAGGAATAGTTGGTCATTTTAGCCTTAATTATTTAGGCTAATTCCAAAACACATCCATCTGAAAATATATCAGTTTTACACAGTGAGAGGACAGAGTGTTTGGGGTTTCTGTCTGAAAGTTTTTGGCATATATCAGTCGATGTTGTCTACTCCTTTGTCAACATCCCTAGGTCCTATAGCTTGTAGCTTTTAGCCTTACATTTTTTATCTTTTCTTTATCCTTCCCTAATTCTCACAGTTTCTCCTACTCTCTCTCCTGCTTTTGGGAAACTATTTTAAAGAAGTTGAGCCTGAGAAGGATTTAAAGTCTAGATTCTGGAAACTTTGGAGATAAGAGAAAAGCTCATGTATGATTGGCAATCTGTGATGGACGGCAAGGAGTGGACGTACTCAATACTTACTACTGAAAAATTAGATTCATTAAAAAAAGAGAGTCTTTTGCATTTTGGCAGGAGCTATTTATTTTACATTTGGTTTTGCTGTATTCATGCCATAGCATTCAAGGCATTCACTGACCCACGTGCTTACTTTGTCTGTCTGCTGAGATGAAAAGCCAATGCAGCGACAAACATATTTTTAGGAAAAGGTGTCAGACATCTTTTTTTTCATCTCAAAAGCTTATCTATTTTCTATCATAATTAAATAAAAACCAGAAAAAAATGAAAGAATAAGTAGTAGAATCAGGATCAAAATAATTTATGTGTAATTGTCCTACTAATATAGCAAGATACATAGACTAAAGTAAAATTTTTTTAAAAAGCAGACTAAATTGTTGTGATGTTGTTAGCATATTCTTTTCAAACTGTATATTAAGAATGGACTTAAGTATAAAGTAATATAGTTTTAAAAAGCCTTTAAATTAATATATTTTTTGTATTGAACTTATTATATACCTAGTGCCATTTTGATGTTTGGCCTTTGGAATCTAGGTGCCCCATGAATGTAAGATTTTTACCTGCTGAAAATGACTAATCAGGTTTATAAGTCTTCATTCTGTTAGAGTTCAAGAAAAGTGTTTTGGTTACATGAATTCACAAATTGAATTGATTATCTAAAAGGTTTTTCTTATAAGCCCATTTTATGAGTTCAAACAATAAATGCATATACTGTTTATGTAATTCTCATCTATTCACTAGGGCTTGTGCATGTGATTTGAACATATTTTTAGCAATTTTCTGAGCCTTTCCAATTATTGATTTGCCATTATATACACTGCAGAAACATTTCATTACCCAAGTATTCTGTTTAACTAACTATATGAGGCTATTCCATTGTCATAGCTGGAAAACAATTTACTCTAAGGCCACATAAATCTGGGTTCAAATCACAACTATACCCCTTATTAATTCTATAATTTTATACAAATTGCATAACATCTTTTTAGCCTTTTAATTCTCATAAACAGTAGTGAAAAAAATACTTAGTATATTTTATGGTCTATGTAAATAAATAAAATAATTCTCAATTAAATTAGATTTTTTTAAATGTTTCAATATAACGGTTATCACATTCTGTAAACAAACCAGATTAAGTCAGATAGTATTTTCTAAGTGGGAGTTTTCTAATCTAGAAGCTCCTCTCTGTAGACCTGGGTAGCATCTGTCTTTTATTCCCTATGAGTTTTATACTGTCTTTACACTACATTGCCTGGGTGAGTGAAAAAGTGACTGCCCATAATACATTCTTTTGCCAAGGTTTGTGTTTTCTCAGAAATGCTACCATCAATTGATCCATCATCATTAGTTCTATAATGACCAGCATTGATCACAGCCCCACAAGAATTCAAGTGGTAACAAGCTTCCTTCTTAGTTAAAGGTTTTTGAATTTCCCATATCTTCACAAGGAATTTGATTCAGGTGATAACGAGCTTGCTTCTTAGTTAAAGGATTTTGAATTTCCCATATCTTCACAAGGAATTTGGTTCAAATGAAAATATATTATAATGAAACTGTAATATATTTAAATATTAAGCATTTAGAATAGCACTGAGAACAATGCTATACATGTACAAATTTGTAGACATTAAAAAGGACATGGAAATCAAATTTTCTTTGCCTTTGTATGGTTAAAATGAGTGACTCTTAGACCATTTACAAACAGAAAATACAAATATTTTTGAGCCCTCTTCATAAAATAATTCTGAAAGATTTCACACAAGTAACTGGAACTATGGCTTAAATATAAAAAGCTGGTTTCATTTGTGGATTGTTTACTGTGCACTGAATCTGAAATAATTCATGGATTCAAAAGAAGACAGATAAATTTTGTATTAAAAACTGGTGGTAGAGCTTCAGTGAAGGGATTCAGAAGTTACTGAACAACAACAATGGACTTGATTTTCACGGCAGAAACAGGCTTCTGTATATTTGTAACTGAGTTAGTTTGAGGCCAGGTCCTGAAAGCCTATTTCAAATAAAGACTGTGTTATTAGATGACTCCTTGATAGAATTTCTATGTGAAGCTTTAGATCACAATTGAACAGGTTTGTAGTTTGACAGGTAACATATGATCCAACTAAATACACAGTCCTGATTCAGAGAGACTAGAAATATGCCTTTCTTTTTGGTGCTGTCGGTAACAAAATGAATTTGATAAAAAAAGAATCTGGGGAGACAGCCTTGACAGTATCATTTCACATTTTTTTTTTAACAACCTTTTTACATCTAATCTTTTGGCTATCTAATGTCTCTAAAATTTTTGTTTGCTGCCAGTTTTTCATAGTGACACTCAACGAACATCCAGATATTTATTTGTTTTTGCTATACATAGTAAGGAAAACTTATAGTTCAACACTGATATGTTTGTAAATATTCAGCTAAGCTAATTTTGAACTTTCAGTGAAATATTAAATTCTTATGCACTGTTTTCCAGTACTTTGCATTTAAGGACCTTTTAGAGCCAGACTTGGAGGTATGTAGAGGGACTAATTGTGGATTAACAAGGCCTGACAGCTTCTTTGCTATAAAACCCCTTTCCCAGAAGGGTTAAAAAAATTAAAAGTGATTGATTTAACCAAAATATCAGTTTCTTGATTAAATTAATTTTCTTTAAACATCTGTCAGATATGATTAGTTCTAGTAGGACATTTGTTGTGTGTGGTGATGTGGATGGAGACCTGACTTGGTGCAGGTGATGGTACCAGTAACTTCTATTATCTACCTGATAATAGGAGACAGAGCCTGTGTGGTTCAGGAACTCTGAAGCTATGCCAATAGTCCACATTTGCCCTCCCAAAAGCACCATTACTAGTAAGAAGCAAACGGAAGGGAAAGCAGAGCATTAAAAGAGTAGCCAGATCACCTTATGAAAAATGTGAGACTATGTTCCACATTTCAACTTTAATGAAACAGTAAATGTAATCACTTCAAGAGTGAAGTTACTGCCACCATCAGTTAACTGATCAGTTTCAATAAGACATTGGGTCTCAATAAATTTGGAGGAAGCAGAGAAGGTAGTGTTGATAAAATGGCTGAAAATTCTAGATGTAGATTTTAAAATATTTACATATACATGCACTCATACATATGTATTCATTTTTGACTTTGATTCCTTTTGGCATTCTTTACAATACAATTTCCATCTTTCTTTTTCTCTCAAATTATTCTGACTGGTATTACAAACTATCTTTTCTAAATCCAGTATGAATGTCTATCTGTAACCACAACTTAGGTGATTTATCTATTGGCTGATTTCTCCACTTATGATGCTTTACCCTTAATTCCTTCCCGGGAATTCATGATTCTATTTTCTCCTGATCCTTTGTATTTTTAATTTTACTACTGTTTGTGCTATTTTGTGCAAAATATTTTTATTCTTTCTTTTCTTAGTTACAGTTATCTGCAGAACTCACTTTTTGTTAAGCTTTATCTTGTTCTTTAAGAATCAATGCTCCATATCAATTATGACTTAGACATCAGTGTGTACCATATTTATTGTATGACTGTATACAAGGAATATGATTAC
Organism: Homo sapiens; assembly: GCF_000001405.40. Classification (NCBI taxonomy): domain Eukaryota; kingdom Metazoa; phylum Chordata; class Mammalia; order Primates; family Hominidae; genus Homo; species Homo sapiens. Next base: position 7,089 of record NW_019805491.1, read on the forward strand.
TGCTATTGCTTCAAATAAGGAGTTAAATAGTGGCAAATACAAAAGTAACTAATAATGACAAGGTTACCATTAGGTTTGCACATGACATTATTTTGGATATAATTGTAAATAATATAAAAGTAAAAAGAATCTGAGTAAAACATCACAACCGTAGTTGGTCAAAACTAGAATTTTAACAACATAAGTAGAAGGCAATGTAAAATCAATAAATTTGACATCTGAATGAGAAAATGAAAGTTAGGTATACAATATGTCATTTAAAAAAACATAATTTAGTTCTGGTTACATTCTTTCTATTAGAAATTTCATTAAAATGTCTAGAAATCAAAATACAAAGATAAGTTAAATAAAAAACTGCAGTATCCATTCAGCTTCAAATACAAATTAGCAATTACTTCTTTTTTTTTGAAAAAAAGATATCTATATTTTCCAATATTTTAAGTAGTCAGACTTCAGGTAATCTATGTTACATTTGAAAAGATTGTATTGAAAATTAAACTCATAAAAATTACACATTTTTCTTATTCTTTTTTACCTTGGGCTCCAATTAACTTTAAAATTTTCTTTAAATTAAACATTTCTTCAAAAATGAATTCTACATGCTTCCACGTGGAAAGAACTAAAATTTGTTTTGTTTTCCAATACATTAATAAAATTTAACAGGAAGCACTAGTATGTTTGTTAATGACAAGAAGCTTGTTACAAAATCTCTTTAGTGTTATTATTATATAGGTATCAGATCAATCTGTTTAAAAGTTTGAACCTAAGACTTCCTTTCATTGAGTCACATACTGAGAATTATTAGAAATTAAAACAACTCTTGGTGCCTCTGTGACATTAGAGATGTCATCTAACCTTCCAGAGGCTTAAATTTATTTCCATAAAATTAAAGTAAACTCAGATAATGTCCAAGATCCCATTTAACTACAAGGCTCTGTTTTGTTTGTTTGTTTTTGTTGTTGTATTATACATCACCCTCAAAAATTCAATGACCTGTCTCGCTTTCTGTTTCACAGTGTGATTTTTTTTCTTCTCTATCTACACATGGACACTGTGAATTGCCTGACATGTTACTATGACTACTTCAAACCAGGAGGAGGCCCTCAGCTGTGTGTGTGTATGTGTGTGTGTGTGTGTGTGTGTGAGAGAGAGAGAGGGAGAGAGAATTATTTTTACCTTCCCAGCTCACCTTGACAGTCATTCTGAACAAGAGGCCTGGGCTGGTTTTATTGGAATCCATGCTACTCTGCTTCCAAGAAAAGCTGAAGTGAATGCGAAGTGGCTACAGAATAATTTGACAGTGACAACATGTTTGATAAGACCCTGTTGAAATTTACTGCCAGATCCCATGCAAGCTAGGCATTTTGATTAAAGCTGTGCTATTGCTTCTGCTTGACTTCTAATAAGTTTAACATTTTCTGATCACTGAAGCCGCCAGCACAGCTTCAGTGCTGGGATATCCTGAGAGTAATGAACAGCATAAAGAATCATGTTCCCTCTTTTCCCCAGCATTCTCATTGTTTGTGGAGTCTCCTCTGATTCAACCTGAATTCACCTTTTACCTAATACTAGTTGTGAACTCCTAATCAGCACCACAGTCTTCACTGTAACTAGCGACACATTAATTAAACTCCTTGATTGAGGCTTCCTTACGTACTGAACTATAACAATCTAAAATGATACAAAATATAGAATTGGCTTTCCATGGTTGAAAACATTACACTTGGAAGTAAACAGTTTTTAAAATAATGTGTAAAACATAATGTTACACTGCACTCCAGCCTGGGTAACAGAGCAAGACCCTGTCTCTAAAACACACACACACACGCACACACACCTACACATGCATGCACACGGTTACCTTTTTAAATAGATATTTAAATCATTACTAATTAACATGAGAAGAAAGAAGAAAAATGATTAATAAGAGAGACAAGGGAATGTGAATATAAACACAGGTGAGACCCGGCTCTGTCACAGCTATTGCTGTGCAGATCAAGCAAGACATGCAATTGTATACGCACACATGCATATATTATTTTGGTAAAACAAAAAGTACTTCTCACCCTTTGACCTTCTATTATCTTTTGCTTTGAAAAAGTCCATAGTAATGGAGTCTTTCTCTGTTGCCCAGGCTGGAGTGCAGTGGCACAATCTTGGCTCACTGCAACCTCTGTCTCCCAGGTTCAAGCGATTCACTTGCCTCACCCTCCTGAGTAGCTGGGACTACAGGCATGCGTTCCTATGCCTAACTGATTTTTATATTTTTAGTAGAGATGGAGTTTCACCATGTTGACCAGGCTGGTCTTGAACTCCTGACCTCAACTCAGGTGATCCACCCACCTTGGCCTCCCAAATCACTGGGATTACAGGAGTGAGCCACCGCACCCAGCCCCAATATCTTTTGGAAATGAAAATATATGTATGTTTTCTGATGGGCGAAATATCTTAATATTTGTATTTTAGAGTTTATTTGTCCCAGGCCTATGCTATGAGGCTCCACGAAACAACACTATAGTATACTTTGATGCCTAAGTCTGTATGGGCCAAAGAAAAATAAGTTATGGTTGGCTTACTTCATAGGAATTTGTGATGAAAATCTTCCTGCTACAGGCTGATGGGTGGTAAATTGAGTGATTTAGGTGTCTGGTCCTATTTAAGTCTCTTTCTGATAATTTGCTGTAGTAGTGACCTGTGATGAGTGCTATTATTGCCATGCTTAGGTACCATCCATTACTATTTAATAACTTCCATCACAATTGCTTTTTATATTATTAAGTTGTCACAAATAATTTATTTGGACATTGTACAATTTATTTTAGGAATTAAAAATAAAAATTTCTAGTTTTCTGTTATAATTATTTAAACATTGCATCACTTTGTTATAGATAAGATTGAATTTTCTGTGGTAAAGAATACTGAAAAGGAACCTAAAATTAGATATCAAACCCCTATTTCAGGAATAGATTTTTATGGAACTTTTTTTTTCTTTGATTAATGTCTGTTTACAGAAATGTTTTAAGTAATTATCTGGCTTGAAAGCTATGTTTTAAAATGGATGTTTATTTACCTCTTCTACCCTGAGTGACATTGACTTATAGGTTTAGTACCTAATGCCAATTAAATCATCTTAGAAACAACTGCATTTGCACATGGGAATATTAGGGACTTTTAAACAACTATTATTGGGAGAATTTCTAGCAGCATATTGACAGTATTATTGAAAATATATCTTTATACTTTTAATCTCCATTGCAGCCATTGTCATTGTGCTACAGGGCTCGAAACAACACGAGATGGTGCCTTCCATCTCGTTTTTTGATCTAAACTTTTAACCTGGTGATCTTATTTCTTGATTCCTAAGGAAATACTTTTCTCAGACTATTGCATTGGGCTTTTTCCCAATCCGTTCAAATTATCGTAGAAAAAACAAACAAACAAACAAATAAACAAACAATTTCCTTCTGTTCTGATTGTGTCACTCCTCCCTGGACAGGTTATCTTCTGGTAAAACATAAACTATTCTCATAAGCACCAAGTACCTCTGGGCTACTTGAGGTGAACAAAATTGCACCAATTACTTTCAAGCGTAAGTATTTTTGCCTGAAAGTGCTGAGGAACTTTTGAGTTTATAAACCTGTTCAATCACAGGAGTCCAGATTATATATAGCACCACACACTGCAGAAGTGTCCAAACCCCTGAGGCATATTGCTACTTATCAGATTCATAAGTAGAAGAAAGGAGGGCTTATAAAGAAGAATTTTTTTAAAAAAGATATAATGACCACAGCTCAAATAAAGGACTTAGATGAGCCAGATAAAATGAGTCTATCTAAGACTAGGAAGTTAGTGATGTTTCTAATTGTGGGGCTGACAAGGAGGAGATTTGGAGAAGGAGACGTCATTTATAGCTCTATGTACATGGTTAATCTGAAAATGCAGTTAGAATCATATGGATGGTTTGCTTCTTTTGGTACTAAGTCATGCTTTGGAAATGCAATGGAGTGTTTCTGAAATCCAGGTCACTTTAGTGTCTGCAAGACAATGGCTTGTCAAATTTGAGAATTTGGGGAATTTTTCTATTGCTTTTAAATTTGGAAGACAATCTAAAAAAATTAATAACTAAGGTAGTGATTAAGTGATTTTAATCATTATGTTAATTATTTTTTAGTCAAGTACTCACTGGAGTCACAGTTGTATTTGTGAATTTAGAGGGTTATCTGAAATCCCGTGAAAAGTTGTCACACTAGATATGAATGGGTGTGGCTCACATCAAATGAGATGGACTGAGGAGGCTGGGAGATGTTTGAAGTGTGTGTGTTTTGTGTATTCCTACTGAACTCAGTTCACTCAGTTGCAGTTTTCCGCATTCATGTACTTTCTCATGGAAGATACCATTCATAAGCAAGCACAGTATTTGTGTTATGCTTAAGTCGTTCCCTAATAAATCATTCACTTTGGAACAAATCTGCAATTTTATAACTAGCATTACAGCAAAACTGATTGTGTGTAGATAGGTACACATACTGTAGTGGTTGTCTGAATATTATTCACATTTTGAGGTGCAAGTTAGCTTTACCAAAACAGCATCATCTATCTCGTTATAATTGAATTATTCATCTGATTTTCACTAAAATTGTATAATTTTAAATTTTAAATTTGTATTGGATTTCTTTTTTTTTTTTTTGAGACAGAGTCTGGCTTTTGTCTCCCAACCTGGAGTGCAGGGGCGAGATGTCGGCTCACTGCAAGCTCCGCCTCCCGGGTTCAGGCCATCTTCCTGCCTCAGCCTCCTGAGTAGCTGGGACTACAGGCGCACGCTGCCACGCCTGGCTAATTTTTTGTATTTTTAGTAGAGACGGGGTTTCACCGTGTTAGCCAGGATGGTCTCGATCTCTGACCTTGTGATCTGCCCGCCTCTGCCTCCCAGAGTGTTGGGATTACAGGCGTGAGCCACCGCGCCCGGCCAAATTTGTATTGGATTTCTATATAGCTGCATAAGACCTATGTGCATGGAGATTTTATGCTGAAGTTGTATTTTTTGTATGGCAAAATTACACTCTAATTCAAAATGATTTAGCACTGGAGTTCTGAGATATTTTTCCCCTGTAAAATTCTTAGTTTCAAGTTGACGATATATGTAATGTTATAGAAAACTTTTGTCATCTTTTCGCATTTCTATCTCCCTAACAGCTTCATGTCAAATACCAAGCAAAGGATCCTAGAATGAACCCGATGGTATAGTTCATTGCCATGTAAATACTCATGCTAAAAGAGATATAACATAATCTGGTAGATATGATTAATAAGATTTATTCATTACAAGCCACCTTACCTTCCATCTTCCACTTTTCTCTCTTTTGGCTTTCAATTTGCTCATAGATATTTTAAAGAAAAATTATAAATTAAAAAAGAGAAAAAAATGTGAGAGGATATTACACATATGGCTATATTCAAATTTAAAATTTCTAGAAGCTAGAAATTATGTTTTTAATATTTCTTTTGCAAATGTTAGACTGAAAAAAGCCTATTCTTTAAGAGCATACTTAGGATTTCGGAAAGGTATATTAATTACTTAAGTCCAGAAGGTACTAAGAAATGTCTAGTGTGCCTATCATGTATTAGGCTTCAAACAGCTAATTCAGGTACCAAATCCACAAACATTTTTCTCTGTGGATGAATATCCAGCCTTTTCTATTTCCAAGGGAATTAAGAATTAATAACTTCTGGCTAGTTTTAGCGAATAAAAAAACCTTATCTCTATCATTCAATATTTCAGTTAAAAAGTGTTTCTTGGTTTTGAGTCATCTATTATTATTGCGTTACTTCTTCACTCCATTATTCTCTGAGATGTCCATTTTGGATCAATATATATTAAATATCATTCATTAAACAGCTGAAATTTGTTGGGTTGAAGACAAATTTCTGGGGAAGATAATGTGTCATCTCACATGTGAATTTCTGCTAGGAGGCTGTTACAAGCAACTATGTTTTAACCATTATTGCTGTGAGACTGATTTAAACTGTTCTAACAAGTAAAACTAACACTTCAGCATGGTATCATCACAGCAGTTCTCTGACATATAAAATTTTCATTTTTACTACTGTTATTTTTTTCTGAAAATTAAAAATTGCAAAGACTGTCTCCTTTCCTTCTTACTACCTCCCTCCCTGGTCCCCCACTTCGTATCTCTCTCTCTCTCTCTCTCATCATTCAAGTCACTTGCAGTATACAGAAAAAATCTAAATATTTTTGCATATGTTCTAATAGAATGATTCTCATATACTTTGAAGAGAAAAAATAAACATGCTAATTATATATGTAAATAATATACATATGATATGAAGGATCTCAGAAAATGATACTCCAGAATGAAGGCCTCAGAAGCAACTCTCTCTGACTTTCTCCTGTCCTGCTATCTCTGGCCTCTCAGTTTCCCTCGAGGATAGCCATAGAAACTAGAATTTCTCTTAACCAAAGTGGGTCAGAGAAACCAGAACCCTTTTTCCAAGAAGCCAGGATTAAATGTTTAAAATTACTCTAACTTTTTCCACTCCTTTTTGTTAAAAACTGCCATAAAGAAATGATCTGACTTACCTTTTTTGACGGTATGTCAGAACACCCACATTCCAGAGATAGATGTCGCACACCAAAAAAGAAGGAATGCTTCACAGAGAGGCCAAGAGGAATCTGGACAGGTCAGGCAGATTCCAACAGTCTTTTAGCATTAAATCATAACCTTTTTGTCCAATTGTCTTTCTACTTGGCTGTTCATACTTTTTGAACCTAAGCATAAAAATGAACATTTTTTTTCCTGTATCTTAAGGTCCTCATTCAGAAGGCTTTCATGTAATGTAAAATGGTGATATATAAATTGGCATGCCTTTTCTCCTATTAATCTGCTTCTTCTCAGTAATTTTCAGCAAACTTTCAGAGGGCAAAGAGGAAATTTTCCCTTGGTCTCTAGAAACATTATAATTATATATATATATATATATATATATATATATGTATATAAAATTTTGCATATTTAAAATATGAGATGTATAAGGCATCATGTTTATATAGAAATGATTATCTGTCTACTTTAAAACTTAGCATAACTCTTATAGGATGTTTCAGGTTCAGGTACACTTTAGAGAAAATATATTTATTAAATAAAAAATTACAGGTTTTTTAAGTGCTTCAAAGTAAAAGTGAAGAATGCTAAAGTCAAAATAATTATAGTTTGGGAAGTGGCATGGCTCGGGAAAGCTGAAAGTGGAAGCACAAATACTAGAATGTTGAATTAAGCAGAAGTGAGGTATAAGTATTTTTTAAGTACTTTTTTTGCAGGCAGAACAGTAGGTATGAGAGCAGTAAGAGACTGATTAGTATGACCATGATACACACCTGGAGGATTCTACAACACTCAAAGAACACTGTGGCCTGGACTCATGGGTGGTCTGTGGAGATGGAGGGCACTAAACATGAAAACAATATCTACTTTGAAAGTAGATTGGGGATATAAGAGGTTGAGGATTTGAGAAAAGATAAGAATATTGCCCTTACACCTTGATGTATATTACATGCATGCACTCTTTTCTGATATAAAAAATAAATCGTCTGGGTGTGGTGCCTCACTCCTGTGATCCCAACACTTTGGGAGGCTGAGGCAGGGGGATAACTTTAGGTCAGGAGTTCGAGACCAGACTGGCCAACATGGTGAAACCCCGTCTCTACTAAAAATACAAAAATTAGCCTGGTGTGGTGGTGCACGCCTGTAGTCCCAGCTACTCAGGAGGCTGAGGCAGGAGAATCGCTTGAACCTGGGAGGTGGAGGTTGCAGTGAGCTGAGATCGTGACCCTGTACTCCAGCCTGGGCGACAGAGTGAGACTCAGTCTCAAAAAAAAAAAAAAAAAGGAATGAAGATGAGCACTTTGTGGGGAAGAATATGATGTTTTGTGAAATCTTTGACTATGTGACAGATTGAAAAGAAGATGTAGACAGGAAAGTATGGCTTAGAGTTCCAATTTCTCACCTCATAACTGAAGTTATGAGAAGGAGGAGATGACCTGAGGGTGTGTTGGTATGTGTTAGAGTAGAAGTCCTGAAACAGAAATTGGAGATGCACCGACATATAGCAGTTTTCTTGACAAAGTAATATCAGCAGAACTGATAGAAAGGCTGGCGGTGCAAAGAAACATGGACTGAACAGGGAAGGGAATATATTTTTGGAAGGAAGTTGTCCTGACGTTTTAATAAAGGTGGAAGCTCAAGTAAACTAAGATGAGGTAGATGTTTTTTAGCTTCAACTAGACAAGTTGTGAACACTACTTTTTAATCCTAGGATATTTTTATCACTTTCAGGTTTCTCTATTCATAGACAAAGACCTTGAATTTGGTAATCTTTGGACATTTTTCTTTACATGATTTTCTTAGGCATATTTGATAACTGATAGCCCCTGCAAAAATTATATTATACTTGATTGGAGTGGAGGTAATTAGTCCTACAATTTAGTGAAATTCTAGATTTAGAAGAACTACCACAAGAATACTTATATGAACTACTATATGATCTTCAGATATCTTCATATTTATTTATCCTTTTGAAAGTAAATGACCCTTAAGGGTATTGTAAATAATTTAAACATGTAAGGTGGAACCATATGAAGTATTTATATAACTATGCCTTCTATATATGCATTAAGTATATTGATTTGTTTTAAAAGGCAACAAATGGTGAGCCTTTTGTGACTTTTACTCCTCTTTCATAAACTACTCAAATATTACTTTCCCTGTAATGCATCCCCTCTATGCCGTCCTCTTGATGGAGCAAATCACTGTGCCCTTGTACCCACACTGTAACTTGAGCACAGGTGAGCATATGTTTTAACAACGCTTTAGATGTTTATGCCTGTTTACCAATCCCTGTGCCTCAGGGTTTATTCCTTTCTGTCACCAGTGCCTAATTTACAGTTTGATACAAAGTAACAGCTCAAACCACACTTATAAAGAAGTATTGCAATAATTTTCTTGGAGAATAAGGATTATAGAAATAAAAGTGTTCTTAGATTCTTTTAATTTAATCTCTTCCATTTTTAGGTGACAATATTGACAGCCCAAAGTATTAAATGCCTGCCAAAAAATTAGTTATTATTAAAGGCTTAAAAATGATCATTTAGTTGGCAAAACATGTTTAAAAAGATGAAAATCAGTACAATGAATGTATTTTACTTAGAGAAACAAAAACTGAGCAACATAGCATTTTCCCAGGGTAGGGTAAAAAAGAATGCCATAATATATAAACTAGGGAAAAATATATATATCCCCATTAGGAAACATGAGGTGAAGGTGCACTCATAAAAGTTTTGGTCTTAGATATGTTTCTTCTCTCTAAACATATTTGAAGTAACTTGAAAAAAAATTATTCACATTTCATATACATATATATGTTCCGTTGTATATGGGTAGAGAATATTTTTATTTTGTGACAAAAAGGAATACTTTCATATAGTAATCCTAAAAGGAGGCATGTTTTCTACTCACATTACATAAATATAATATTCATTTTTTCTAAATGCTGTTGAAACATGATATCTGAGAAACCAAATTAAGCAGACTTCCCTTGAGTCACAAGTGGAGAATTTTCTCTCCATCTGCGTAACAGTGGAGTAGTTTCACCTTTGGGGAGATTGTATAATAACATACAGAAAGCATTTATTTTGGGATCAGAATGAGTGCCTACTTCTCTCTGCCGTGGGATTTATTTACACATCATCATAAAATCTAGACACTGCCAAAGACTTTGGGATTATGCAGTCTAACCTTCTACTAGGCATTTGGATTTCCAGAATAAGATTTTTAACAAAATTCTTCTCCTTCTTGGACCAATGCTAATGGGTTCCTTAATTGCTATAGAGTTTTACTATGTCTTTGAAAATTTCAAATTGTTAAAAAAATCATCTTCATAGTCAGCTAAATTATATCTACGTATAGTCTCCTTTTACTTATTTCTATTTTTTAAAGTCATACCATTGGAAAATCAAATGTCTCTCAAAATGATACTTCAAATATTTGAATATCGTTGTCCTATAAATTCAAAGTTTCAATTTATATAGGCAAAACCTTATTTGTTTCAGATATTCCCTTTGTGAAATACTATTACTATGTATCCATGTTTTAATCGCTATCCTCTGATGCATTTTCTTATTTGTCTATATCCCTATCAAATTGTATAATCCGGAAGTGAATAAAGTATACTAAATGTGATTTCACGAGCTCAAGAATTACTGTTGCTCATTTGGGACATACATTTATTTAGTAGCTATTTATTGAGCACATACATATGAGAAGCAGCAGCTTGCTATGGTCAGGACAGTCAATTCCCCTGCCATCATGGAGTCTACTAATTGTAGACATTTTTTGGGGATTCTCTGCTCACTGTTTAAGCTTTCCAGTGTTGTTTTGAAGCCACCTCATACAACTCAATGATGCATTTCTCTTAACAGTTTCGTTTTTAATGATATACCAATGGCAGCTTGAAATTGGCCACAAAGAAAATATTTACACCATGGAAATCTGTTAATGGTATATATTTTTGGTGGTTGTTTTGATTGGTTGTTTTGCTTGGTTTTGTTTTAAGGAGCTGGCTGCTAAAGATTTATTAGCATATTATTACTCTTCTTTCATTTGGAGCTCCTTCTTCCCACACTTTTGGAATCCTGGCAGTGGGTTTTTACTAAAAGATTTGGTGTTATGTCTATAATTGATTAGGCTAATGGTGAACATAAACTAGGCCATTTACAGATACTTGAAAATAATGGTTATGCTATGTTATTAGGATATAAAATATATTAAAACACATTAATTATGCTTATTCTCTACACATTAATCAATACTTTTAAATTTAATTCCTACATCTGATAACAATGATATTAATATACAAGCCATGTTGAAAGGGCTTTATTGCCCTATTCAAACATAAGCATCCTTGAGTGGACTGAATTACTCTTCATTTGGAAGATATATGCCTCTCTCATTTTTTATTGATGCTTTTGATTCATGTAATACTTATTTCAATTGCCATCTATAGTTTAAAGCAAAGCTTGTTATTATAACTTCCAAACACTGAAATCATTCAAATATCTTTAAGAAGACACTCTTGCCTAGTTGAGAACAATATTGCCATAATACACATATGTTTTATGTAGAAACATCATCTCAGGCATTCAATAAAAGAATTACTACTCTGAGGAGATGCAAAAATATAAAAGCAACTTTAATGGACATTACATAGAATTTTATAATTCTAGATGGGCAGAAATCAATGTATTTATACAATAAAGATCCTTGTATTTAGAAAGCGTGGCAAAAGAGGGAAAGTAGCTCATTGAAGATCCTGTTACTAAAACTGGAACTCAACAAGGCTAGGGATTATTGCTGGATGTGCCATAAACAATAGACTATGTGGGCCGGGCGCGGTGGCTCAGGCCTGTAATCCTAGCACTGTGGGAGGCTGAGGCGGGTGGATCACAAGGTCAGGAGATCGAAACCATCATGGCTAACATGGTGAAACCCAGTCTCTACTAAAAATACAAAAAATTATCCAGGCGTGGTGGCGGGCGCCTGTAGTCCCAGCTGAGGCTGAGGCAGGAGAATGGCGTGAACCCGGGAGGCGGAGATTGCAGTGAGCCGAGATCGTGCCACTGCACTCCAGGCTGGGCGACAGAGCGAGACTGTCAAAAAAAAAAAAAAAAAAAAAAAAAAGAATAGACTGTGTGGAGTATCAACAGAGTTTAGTTGACTAATACCTGTGACAATTATATCTGCAAGCAAAATTAAAAAAAAAATATCTGACTAAATGGAAAGTGTTTCTCATAAACACTTAGGTACAGAAAATGCCTCTGAAATTGCTCTAGAAGCAGCGTTGGCTGCTTTTGTTGTGTTTTACTTGCTAAAATGTAATAAAAAATGTGATCCACTTGTATTGTTTGGTAGACAAAAACATTAACTGAACTTACTATGGTAGCTGATTAGTATTTGCAAAAATTGCCAAGATAAGAAAAGGTAACTTAGGTTTTATAAATCAAAAGCTTTCAAATTTTAGGAAGTAAACAGAGAGTTTATAGAGGTTGAACTACAGAACAAAATCCATGTAAATGTAGAGAATTTTTACAAAGTCTTTTATGTAATAAGCTATGGATTCTCTGAGAAGAAAGATATACATTAAAAAAATCAAGACAATCAACCTTATATCAAAACCTTTCCAATGTCTGACCTGAGATTAGAATTATGCCCAAAATGCACAACAAGCGCTTTCTCTTTTTAGGGCAGTGTGGGAAAACTTTATTAACATTTATGCTCAATTATTTCAATTATTGCCACTAGATCATATTGGTATTTATGTATTTAGCATGCTTAAGTAGTATCTAAGGTTAAAAGCTCATTATCACAGAGCTCAAGAGTTGGATCCCCTAAAAGTCTTACTGGTTTTTACATCTGTACCGATTTTTTGTTGTTGTTGGGGGAGACAGGAGTTTCTATTTTAGATTGATATGCAGGTACAGAATTACTTCTCCCTTATTTATAATAAAATAAAACCTCTTTTTTTAAGTTTAGGTATGTTATATATTTTCCCTCAGATACAGTCTATTTAGAGTTCTCTGCTTAGTAGAAATGTGAGATCACTCTGCCTTAATCGCTTGTAAGAATCAAAATCTACTCTCTCACAAATACAAAATACATATTTTTTCTCTGTTGTCCATTTTTGTTCTCAACTCGTAACAAATTCATATTTATTCAACATATTTACCCAGTTAAGACAATGCTGAATTCAACTAAAACACTTCTCAATTTTTCCAATAGCCTTTCTATACAAAATCGTAGAAAAGTACACATCTCATTAAAGAAACATGGATTTGTGCCAGACACGATAAAATAATTGTTGTAATTTTTTCCTTTTTTCCCACTGAAACGAACTTACCTACATATTTTTAATAAAATGCAGTCCCACTAAGTGGTAGCATTATATACTACCTTCTTTTTATATTCATTAATCTTTGTGGTCTCTCATGTTCTTTTCCATTTCATGTTCTCCAGTATCTTTGATTAGAATTCTTTAAGGTTACCCTGAAAGTTTCTTTATTATTTCAAATTCTTAGAACATTGCATGAATCTACGTTTCCTGAATATTGTGACTTTTATTCAATATATCAGTGACCTTTACTAGCTGTCTCCTCAATACTAGCATTAAAAGAGAGTCTATAATTTTATTTCATTTTTAGCACACAGAGATCACAAGCCTTCTCAAGAGTTACAACAGTTATGTGTATCCTGAATGTTTTACTTAGGGCAGAATTGCTCTGCAGGAGAGCATGCCCGTCTTCTTCCTGAGTGAGGGTTATCCTCAAAATTGCCAGGTCAACTACAGTTATATGAGCGCTCACTTTCCTGGGCATGACTGGCTATTGTCAACAATGTATGCTGAGAAAGGCATCAAGGACTAATCCCCTATTACATTTAATGCAAGGTAATGCTCAAATCCTCAGTCACAAACACCTTCAGAAGGTTTTTCATCCTCAAATAAACCATTTTCAGGTCTTGGAGATTTGGAGTCTGTGATTAAAGTAAGCTTTTACCTAATGTTCTTCTGGGAAAGGATTTGCTTTAGGAATAATCATGTAAATTAAGAGAACAACAATATCCAATTACCTATGCTAAAGAAGCCTTCTTTATACACCTAAGACAAATTTTACCTTTTTCTCCACATATTTCCAGCCCATTTTTATGAAAGTTATATTTAGGTATATTTATCACTTCAATTTATGCCTAAAATGTAATCTACTTATCCAGTATGTTTTCTAACTTGCAGCTGCTTCTACATAGACAAACCACTGATTAAATAAATTATTTTTGTGACTAGACATATTATTTTTCTCAATCATCATTCAACTGATTTGGTGGTCTTTCAACTATGAAATCTTACCATATATAAATAATGAACGTATGAATTTTTTTCAACTTTTAAATTGCATATTTTCTATTTTACTTGTATTGCCTAATACTTTAATATCAATAATGAATAATACAATATTTGTCACTGATCTCTTGTATCTGACTTTAAAGAAAAGCCATATAGTGTATCACCATTTGTAAAGTAATAGCTTTTCACATTTACATTTATTTTGGATTTTTTTGCCTTTTCAAAGGAATTTTACATTATTCAGATTTTAAAAGTTTCTTCTTTTCTTTCTTAAAGAAGAAGGTTAAAATTTTGGAAAAATAACTTTGCAGCTAACATTGCATATTTTTTCTTCTTTGTTTTATTAACATGACAAATATTTTGTTTTAGATTTTTGCTTTTATTATGGTTGAAATAAGTTTTAAGGCTTTTCTGTGGTTTGGAATGGTTTAAATAATAGTGAATTTATCTAATCTTTGAATACTACATATTATTTATGACTGAAGCCTCCAGGCTTGATGTTTTCTGTGTTGATGTGGGGCAGATTATGGAAACTCTTGAATAATTTCAAGAAGTTTCCAGACTTATATGGTTATTTTAATTTTCTGCATATATCAACACTATTAAAATTATACAGTTAGTAGAAAGTAATATAGATGGATTTTCATAAGGTTTCAAAAGTACTCTAATAATATTATTCTATGAACTTTTGCTGTGTTTGTGATTATGTCAATATATTGTTTAACATGAAATTTGTTATATTTTCTTTCTCATTGTAATTTATGTTTATTTTTGCTTTTTTTCTGTTTATTACTTAATGAATTTATCTCATCCTATTTGATTGGTATTTACTGTGGCTATAACAAATTAACACAGATTCAAACAACAAAAATCTATTATCAGTCATTCTGTAGATCAGAAGTCTGAGATGGGTCTCTTGGGGCTAAAGTAAAAGTATCTACAGGGTTGTGTCACTTTTTAACTTTAAAAGGAGAACCCATTTTGCTGCTTTCCTGTTTCTAGAGACTTCCCATATTCCTTAAGCAGTAACGCTTTCCTCCATCATCAAAGCCAGAAACTCTGACCCTTTTTCCATTGGTATATCTTCTTTTGACCTTTGCTAGAAAAAGTTCTCAATATTTAGGGAATCGTGTAATCACATTTGTGAAGTTCCTTTTACCATGTAAGGTCACATTCATAGATTGTGGAATTAGGACATTGCCATCTTGGTGTTGTAGTAACATTATTCGGCTTCTATCTTTGATCTTTCTTTCTCCTCTCCTAAGTTACAACATTTACATTTTTATTATTAGGCTCTTTTAAACATCAATAAGATTCTATTTGTTAATTATACTTATTCTTTATTTATTGAGTTTAAGGGATAGAAAATGAGAACATTATTCACTTATTAATCTTTAATCCTACTAATATTTTTGAGCACCTACCTGTATCCTATTGTAGATAATGGAATTATAACATTAAACAAAATGTAAAAAGAAAATCGTTTCTTTGGAGTCTACATTTCAGTGAGTGTGTAGAAAATAAGCAAATCATGCATAGTATGCCAGAGGTCATTAATTCTATGAAGAAAAATAGAGAGGAGAGGAAAATTGGGAAGGCAGGGCAGAGGGGAAAGACTACTGTTTTGTGGAGGTGTTCTATTTAATTAGGTGACATTTAAACAAAAATATAAAAAAAATTGAAGAAGTGAAACATGAAGATATCCAGACAACTACTGGAGGCAGAAAGAACTCCAAATACTAAGATGCAACTGAAATGTGCTTGACAAATTAAAGAAACCTAAAGGGAAGGAAAGGTGGAACAAGCAGCAGAATTGCGAGAAGTAGACTGAAGATAGAGTTGAGGACTGTATCACAGGTCTTTGTTGGATTACTCCTGGGGTTTGTTTGTTTGTTTGTCCAGGCTGGAGTGCAGCAGCACAGTCTCTGTTCACTGCAATCTCTGCCTCCCAGATTCAAGTGATACTCCTGCCTCAGCCTCCCAAGTAGCTGGAACTACACCATGCCACCACAGCTGGCTAATTTTTGTATTTTTAGTAGAGATGGGGTTTGGTCATGCAGGCCAGGCTGGTCTTGAACTCCTGACCTCAAGTGATCCACCTGCCTCAGCCCCCAAAAGTGCTGGGACTACAGGCATGAGCCAACATGCCCAGCCTTACCAGGTTCTTGTAAGAAGTTTACCTTTTATTCTGAGTAAAATTTTAATCCTTGAGCAGAGGGTGTTGAACTGAAGGCCATGATTTATTCTGTTTTTAAAAATGTACGCTGACTGCTGTATTGAGAATAGTCTGCAAATGAGCATTGAGAGAAGCAAAGATATCAGAAAGGAGGTCACTGCAATAATCCACAGGAGAAATATTACTATGATGAACAGCAATGTTAGCTATAGCAGTAGGAGAAAGTGTGAGTGATTCTAAGCCTACAAGATTTGCTAAAAGACCCAATATTTTGTATAAAAGAGACATTCAGTGGTAGCTTTAAGAGGACTGTGACAGGAACAGGTCTGGGGAATGAAGGTGGGAGGAAGTGTCATGACTTGGGTTTTATAAATGTTATGTTTGAGACATCTCTTAAATACCCAAGAAGATTTGAGAGAAGCAGTTGAGTAAATGAGTCAAGAGTTCAGGTCTTCAGCCTGAACTGAAGATAGAAAGTTGTAAGCACTATAGATAGTATTAAAGCTAGAAGAATGGATAACGTAGGTATAAAAGGGGTTCAAGAGGTGAGTCCTAGTAACTCCAAAATTTAGAAATTACAAATTTGAGAAAACATCAGCCTGAAAGCAAAAATAATAGATTAGTTTAAAGAAGAATAAAGAAAATCAGGAGTGATAAATTGCAAGTTAAGAGAAGAGTTTCAAAAAGAAAGTGTGGGCAACCGTGTTAAATGCTTCTGTTAGGTCAAATAAGACGATAATTCAGAATTCATGATAAGATTTATCAACACACAGTTCTTATCAACTTTAAAAATAGGTTTTTGTGGAATAGTACCAGAAAAAGTCAACTCGAATGGATTCAAGAGAAATAGAGTGGGAGGAATTGAAGAAGTGAGTATTGAATATACAGCCCAAAGTAATTCTTCATGAGTGAAATATCGGTGTGGAAAAAGGAAAAGATTTAACAATGGCTGTAGGAGTTTTCTTCTTTACAATTAAAAAGTTGAGGACAGAATGTAATAAGATGGGAGGGTCACATTAGTGGACTATTTTTTAAGAAGTTTTTTTTTTTTCTTTAAAAGAAGTGAAAAAATGTGGATTATATGTATATTTTGTATAGAAAATATCACAAAAACTTGTATATTAATGAAATACTATTAATAGATATGTAGCACTTAAAATGTGCCAGGACCTATGAATTTATGAATGAATCAATTTAGTCCTGACAACAAACTTATGAGGTAGACACTATCATTTTCTTCCCCTTTAGCTAGATGGGTAAAACTGAGAAACAAATTAACTTGTTCAATTTCACACTGCTAATAAGTTGCAGAGCCAGAATTTAAGCCAAGTTAGATCAGCTCCAAGGCACAACACTTCTTGAGTGTAGTAGGGGAAAAAATAGATGATTCTGAAAAGAGAATGGATAGTAATTTTTTATTAGGCACTGCTATGTCTTGAATATTTGTGCCTCTTCCAACATGTATGTTGAAACTGAATCTCCAATGCAACAGTATTAAGGGGTAGAGCCTTGAATAAGTGATTTAGTCATGATGGCAGAGCCCTAACGAAGGGGATTAATAATCTCATAAGAAAAGTACATGGGAACTGTTTGTCCTTTTTTCCCTTCTGCCTTCCACCATTTGAGGACACAGCATTGGTGACCTCATGATGACATAGCATCAAGGCACCATCTTGGAAGAGGAGAGAGCAACTTCCATGTGACACCAATGGCAAAACTTTAATCTTGGATTTCCCAGCCTCCAGAACTGTGAGAAATAAATGTCTGTTGTTTACAAATTACTCGGTCTCAGGTATTTTTTTATTGCAGTAAAAGAGACTAAGATATGCACAGAGACAGAATTTAGTAATCAAATGGAAGGGTTGCCTTAGATCAGAGAAAGTACAGTTTATCCATAGTAATAACAGGAGAAGAAGCGTGTAAGGATGCCATCATTGCTATGTTGACAGGGATTATGGTGTGCAAATGTAGAAGTTGTCTTCTAATTGTTTCTATTTTCTCAATGAAATAAGATTAAAATAAAAGTCATAAGCCAAGAATGAAAATGAGATGAGATGTTGCACAGTTCAGAGTAGAGAAGAACATGTAGGTAGTTACCTAGGAAAGTGGAAATTGAGAGAACTAAACCAATATGGCATTATTGCAGGCACCCTTAAGGGAATGCTCAATAAATTAATATTCATGAATTTAAAGTAGTACCATTCATCATGTTTGGGTGCTTTTGATATACAACTGCGTTGGCAGAGGTAATTGTCTGGTTTTAGACTGCTACAACTATTCAGAAAAAGAAAATTTCAAGGATTACTTCTGGTAGAAAAAAAATGGCACACATTTTTCTTCAATCTCAACTTAAATATCCTTATTATCTATTTTCACTTCCGCCCCAATCAAATGAAGGTAAAGATAGACAAAAACTTGACATTTGAATATGACTCTATTGATTCCCAGGAAAGAAAGAGTCTATTAAATGTGGATTGCTATGTGCCTTTTCTCTTTGGGTGACCAATTGCATCCATAATATTAGGTTGGTGCAAATGGAAGATTGGAAGTGTTACCAGTTTTAGTAGGCAATTACAGTAGTGGGTAAAGACTTTCATTATATGAGTCATTCTTTCATTTTATCTTGACCTATATACTCTTCTCTGTTCCACATTCTGTCTCTCTTTAAACAGTGAAAGTATTCATAAGTTTTTCTTTTCAATTTTGTACCCTTGTTTTTGTGAAGTAGGAAAAAGGAATGTTGGTGGGAGTAGCTATTGCACTACTTTCTAGAACATTTGTTATATAACTAACATGGCAATTTTCAATGGTCATGTTTTAAGGCTATTTTTCTACTTCTTTATTTGTTACTTGAGTGCTACAGATGTATGTTCATTCCTAGATTTTCCTTTCTTCACTTGTTCATTTTTTTGGGGGGGAGGACAAGCTGTGTTATTAGCTTGTTTAACTGTCATACAGAAATTCCTTAAGTTATCTGTTTAATAAATAAGACTATAGTTCTGTTCTTTTAAAATTAACACATTTGTCTGAATTTTTCTTGTTGAAATAGTATGTTCTCAATCTAATATATGACTTCATATTACCATTTCTGAACATTGGAGCTGGATTTGCCCATCAAAAACCTCTTAGTAATTCCATTTTGTGTATGTGTTTTTAGCAAGGACTACTGGGATTGATTAGAGTATCATATTTTCTTATTTTTTGATATACTTAAAATTCTTGTGTTTGTGTTTGTAGAAATAAAGTAGACGTACTATAAAAATACCTATTGCAAAATTTCTTGAAATATCTGGAGAAAATATAACATTTTAAAAAGTCCATTGCTAAGCTTTGAAAATTAAAAGAAATCCGTAGAGGCTACTAAAGTGGTTTGTGGTATATACGGAAGTAAAATATATGAGAGTCAAGTCAAAGGGCCAAGAAGGAGAAAGAGAAGTATTCATTTGTAAAGTTATTACAGAATTCATTAAGTACTATCAGTTAAAGATAGGATGTGTTAAGTTAAAGATACATGCTATAAAACCTAAAGCAATCAAAATAGCGGACAAGTTGTTGTTAATTAGATAGCAGGGGAGAAAAAAATGAATCATAAAAAATGCTCAACACAAAGGAAAGCAGAAAAAAGAGAAAATAAAGTGGCATCAAGAAAAGGCAGAGACCAGAATCAGTGGCGCATGCCTATAATTCCAGTATTTTGGGAGGCTGAGTCAGGAGGATTGCTTGAGGCCAGGAGTTCAAGCCCAGCCTAGGCAACATAGGAAGACTCTGTCTCTATATGAAATTTAAAAATTATCTGGTGGTGCATGTCTGTAGTCCTAGCTACTTAGGAGTCTGAAGTGGGAGGGTTGCTTGAGCCCAAGAGGTTGAGGTTGCAGTGAGCTATGATCGCACCACTGTACTGCAGCCTGGGCAACAAAGCAGGAGCCTGCCTCAAACAAACAACAAACAAACAAACAGAAAATAAGAAACAACAGAAAATTAATTGCAATACAGTTGGTTTAAATCCAATTATATAAATTAAATATATTAATTGTAGATGATCTGAGCAACCTAATTAAAAAGCATAGATTTTCAAAATGAAAAAGCAAGGCCCTACTATATGTTGCCTACAAAAAACAATTTTAAATATCTAGATACAAATAGGTTAAAAAAGAGAGTGGCAAAAGTTGTATCAGGCTAAACTGATAAAGATGGGCTGGGTTTGTTAATGTCAGATAAAAGTAGATTTCAGATCAAATAATATTACCAGGAATAAAAAGAATCATTTCATAAATGATAAAGAGGTAAATTCATCAAAAAGGTAAATTCATCAAAATTCATCTTAAACATTTATGCATTTAATAGCAAATACATGAGAAAAACCTCACAGGACTAGAAGAAGAAATACATGAAGCAAAAACCTCAAAGGACTAGAAGGAGAAATAAATAAATTATAATGAAGCAAAAGCCTTATAGGACTAGAAGGATAAATAAACAAATTATAATTATATTAGTGATTTCAACACCTCACTCTCAGTAGTTGACATAAGAAGTAGACAAAATATTAGTAGGATAGTAGACTTAAACAAATTGTAGCAACCAACTTGACCTAATTGTTAATGGTAGAATACTCTGTTCAACAGCACCACAATACATATAATTTTCAAGTGTATGTAGAACGGTCTCCAATATAGGCCTTATTTTGGAGATCCCTATGAAAACTCTTCATAACGCTAATATTTTCCACCAACACTAGAGAGAAGAGAAAGTAAAACTGTCTTGATTTCCACTTACTATATGAGTGATATGCAGATGCAATAATTTGGATCCCAGCTGTCATGAAGTTTATTTAATATTATAGAACTGTTTCTTCCTAATCTGTATGACAGTAATGATAATGTATAATTGTCTATCACGTTAACACAAAAGTTAAATGAAATTGCTTTAAAGTTTCTGTCACATAAATGTTACACATATTTTAATCTCACATAAAAACACATCTGCCTGAAGACACAGACACTAAAATCTCTCTCAGTGACACTATTTTCATTATCTTTGTACCTCTGTCTGCTATTTCTAATCATACACTATTGGTTTAATTTTCACAAAAGTACTAAACTCTCTTTCATGGAAAAAGTCTGGAAGATTTAAGAGCATAGGATACTTTTGTTTCACAATTGAAAAGCCTTTCACCCAATATCTTGTTATTTATTTGAAATTCATGATTAAAATATTCCTACTAAAATTAATCAAGTTCAGTGTTCTCATCTACTCCTATTTTTTAGACAATCAGGATACTGAATTACCATAATTGGATGGGTTATACATGTCAGATGTTTTTTTCTTAAGTTAGTCATTTATCTGAAAAAACTTATCTATATTACAAAGATAAAAACGTGGTTCATTTATTTTTATTCATTCATAATATAGAGACATTAAACTTGTTTTTGGAAAATTAATGGAAGAAAGATAATTTAGATAGCAAAATGTTTGGACTACAAAAAGATATGTAAAGTGTAACTCTTGGATATATGTAAGAAAAAAGCTTTGCGGCATCTATATCAACTGCTGATAATGAATATGACAAATGATTCTTTTTGTGATTATTTGATTATTTGTATCTTTTGCATATTTTGATATAAATGTATATAAATTTTGCAGAAAACATGCAACCAAGATATATTCAAATTATGGGAAAAATCTTATGAATTGAATAACAGAATAGGTTGTGTTCATAACCATCAAGTTAGACAAACATGTAATCAGTTCAATCATGTGTCTTATTTTCTCCAGAACTGGCTGATGTTTGATTCACTTAAATTGATTCACAATTTTTTTCCACTATCATCTAGGCAGTCTCTTAGAAGTACTTTTGAAAGAAACCTTCTGCCTATTAAACCTAGTTTTTTTGTTTTTAAAAAGCAATTTTTTCAGAATTCATTTCTTGCTACAGGTGCTGCTTTATGAATATACCATTTGTCCATTGGGCATTCAAGTGGTTAATAGACTAAATCTGTCTAATTATAGAGGAAATCAAGATGTGTTGACAGCTCTGTTATTTTGGTGGAGTGACAACCCTGGGTGCCTGCCACATTCTGACATTCAAGCTATACTTGTTAGTATCAGAAATTCTTTGTAGGTGGCTCACTGAAGAAAACAGTGGCGTGTATTTTGTCAGATTTGTCTGCTCAGCTGTGACTTCAATTTTCCCTCACATTGCTCCAGATTCAAAGTCCAAAGAGTTAGCAAGCCGGGCGCGGTGGCTCACGCCTGTAATCCCAGCACTTTGGGAGGCCGAGGCGGGCGGATCACGAGGTCAGGAGATGGAGACCATCCTGGCTAACGCAGTGAAACCCCGTCTCTACTAAAAAAAATACAAAAAATTAGCCGGGCGCAGTGGCGGGCGCCTGTAGTCCCAGCTACTCGGGAGGCTGAGGCAGGAGAATGGCGTGAACCCGGGAGGCGGAGCTTGCAGTGAGCCGAGATAGCGCCACTGCACTCCAGCCTGGGCGACAGAGCGAGACCCCCGTCTCAAAAAAAAAAAAAAAAAAAAAAGAGTTAGCAACAGAATAATGCATTTTATTGCTACAAGGATCCTTTCCTCTCAGGGTTAGTATGGAATTGCTGAAAGGGCATCAGGGTGGGAAACAAGAAACCTGGGTTCTGGCCTTGGTCTACTTTAACAGATAAGTATGACAGATGCAATAGCTGAAACCCTATCTCTATAACTTGATAGGGATTTACTTTCTCATTAAATAATTAGATTAAATCTTCTCCAAGCTCCAATTTGGATCTAAATTTCTGCTATTTTATTTTTAATTCATGTATGGATTTTGGAGGAGAACAGTTTACTAAGTCTTTAGGATATTTACATTTATCTTAAGACAATAACTTTCGTATATTTGCAAGGCTAGTTTTCATGACACATTTCCTCTCTTAATTCCTGTTTCATTTTAAATATCATCAGAAATAATTTCTCACACAAAAGACTTTGGATACTTTTATAAATATTGTTTATAAAAAGCTTTTCATCATTTAGTAGGTATGGCTACAAAGAATTATATATCTATATCATATATCAGATTTATATCTCTATATCATTATCTATGATCTATATCTATTTATCAATATACACACATATTGTTATAAAAAACCTGTGTGAACTTTTCTCCTATATTTCAACAACCTCTGTCTGATAGACTGAAAACTTCATTTTGTGAATAGTGAATAATATTCTTGCTTCATTAATCAAACTTGGGAAAATTTATGAAATATATTTTCATATGCTTCTCAGATTCCTTATTTATTTCATGAAATTTGGAATAATTAAGAAAATTACAGCTAATTTTGCTAAAATAAAATATGATGAAAGATTTATATAAAGTGTTTTCATATGGAACACACATGATTCACTTATTGTAAATAAAATCAAATTCCTAGAAATGTTTGAACATTTTGAAAAATAATTTTATATTTGATATTACATTTTAAAATTTTAAAACATTAACAATGTATGTTTAGCTCTAAAATATGTATATTGGTTTATTTCTATAGAGCTTGTCAAAATTGGCAAAAAAAAAAAGAGAATTAACTCATTAACTTTGGTAGGCAATCTTGAATGTGTGGCAAATATTTTAATTCATTAAATCAATAATCCAGAAGAAAATTAGAAATAATTTAGTACCTCTATAAGCATCCAAGTAGAAATCACTTAATGACTCCAGTTAAATTAATGTCTTTTTTTTTTTAAGGTAAAATAAAAACTTTCATTTTTCTCATTTTTAATTGGTGTGACAGTAGGCAGTTTGTTCAAAATAGTAATAGCAACAATGTGCTTACGTGCAAATGAAAGGAATGACAGCAATGATACAAGAGATGGGAGGGAGGAATTAGAAATGTTTTGTAATTATAAGATACTTGCACTCCTCACAGAGCAGTATAGTGTTACAAGGATACCAGGGGGCTCTTGTGGGTTTGGCTCCAGACCACTGCAATAAAGCAAATATTGCAATAAATTGAGTCATGTGAGTTTTTTGTTTCCCAGTGCATATAAAAGCTATATTTACCCTATACTGTAGTCCATTAAGTGTGCAGTTACATTATGTCATAAAAAATGATGTACCGGCTGGGTGTAGTGGCTCACGCCTGTAATCTCGGCACTCTGGGAGGCCGAGGCGGGCGGATCACCCGAGATCAGGAGCTCAAGACCAGCCTGGCCAACATGGTGAAACCTAATCTCTACCAAAAACACAAAAAATTAGCCAGGCATGGTGGCGGGCGCTTGCAATCCCAGCCACTCAGGAGGCCGAGGCAGGAGAATCGCTCAAGCCTGGGAAGCGGAGGTTGCAGCAAGCCGAAATCGCCCTAGCACACTCCAGCCTGAACAACAAGAGCGAAACTCCAGAGATATATCTAATGTAAATGAGGAGTTAACGAGTGCAGCCTACCTACATGGTACATGTATACATATGTAACAAACCTGCACGTTGTGCACATGTACCCTAGAACTTAAAGTATAATAAATGAATAAATAAAATGTACCTACCTTAATTTAAAAATACTTTAATGCTAGAAAATGCTAACGATCATCAGCCTTCAGCAAATTATAATCTTTTTTTCTGGCGGAGGGTCTTGCCTCATTGTTGGTTGCTAAAGTAATGTCTTAAAAATATTCTCCCACTAATCACTCTTTATCATGTCTAAAATGTGAAAATTTGACAAATGTGTGGTAGTCAGATGCTTTAAAGATAAAATTCAAATTCAGGTCACTCTTATCTCACTATAATTGAATTCCATTGTTACAAATATGTATTATGGCTTGAAATTCATGTATTTTTCAAATAAGAAAATAATAACACTTGTTTTCTTCTGTAGTAAAATAACTGTTTTTGTCTCTTTTTTGACAGGGTCTCCCTCTGTCACCCAGGCTGGAGTGCAGTGGCACGATTTTAGCTCACGGCAATCTCCGCCTCTCAAGCTCAAGCGATTCTCCTACCTCAGCTGCTAATTTCTGTATTTTTACTAGAAATCGGGTCTTACCATATTGACCAGGCAGGTCTCAAACTCCTGATCTAAAGTGATCTACCTGCCTGGGCCTCCCAAAGTGCTGAGATTTCAGTCATGAGCCACCATGCCCAGCCTAGAAAATTTTTTATTAATTAGTTTCTCCTTTTATTTTCATGCGTCAGCTTGTGTTACTTGAGCTATTTTTTTTTTTTTATCTTTCATGCATCACCATACTACTTTTACTCACTGTAAACAAGAGGCACATCTACTCCAAATGGTCAGAATAACAGCCATAATAAAAATAATGCCACAAGCTACCATGCTTGTTTAGGAAATTTTGTACTTTTTTAAAAGGATAATATATGTTTGAATTGTTGGTGAATCCCTTTATCATACGTTGATTTTTTTTCAAAACAAAAACCTCCCTTTAGATGTGTGGTAGATTTTAGCACTGGACCAAAATCTCCACTAACCCCCATGCCCTTGACCTTTGCCTTGTGAATTTGTCTTGATCTTCTTTTTGCTCTTATATATAATTCTCAGTCCCTGGGGTCAGCCGTATTTTGCCCAGTGAGAGTGTTGAAAAGGATTTATGCGATAGGATTTTGTCTCTTTTGTCCTTTTATCATTACAAAGGGAATAGCATACTTAAGTTAGTCTTCTGGTCTTAGAAGGGTAAGAGATAATGTAAAGTAAAGTAGAAATGTCCTAGACTAGAATGAGTCAGATGCCTCTCTGACGCAAGAACGGCCTTGGTTGAGATCAGATAACTTCTAGCAGAAACCTAGACTTGTGAGTAATCAGCACATATTGTAGTATGTCACTGAGGTGTGTGGTTGTTTATTTTGCAATAGTTTGTGGTGACAGCAAACTGATACAAGAGCTTTTCAAAATCATCAGCTGTATCAACAATAATTATAGCAAGAATGGCTGTCTCAAAGATACTTTTTCATCAGAAGAATCAATGCCCCAGTATTGTGGCAAATCAATTGTGAAAGCATTATTTCACATGTAAAAATTTTGTGATGAAATTCTGAATTTGTCCATAGTACTAGATTTTAGATCTGTGCTGTGCAACATGTTTCTGTCAAATTATTTTGTCTTCTTCAATTTTTGTCACTTTTGTTGTTAACTAAAAAAAATTTCAAGGTGACATAATTTTTAAAATCACTGAGGGACTTTTTGTTTAAAATTTGAACCAAATTATTTTTTCAATAATAGGCATTTGGAATTTATTTTGAATAATTGAGTAGAATAATATTCAGATCAAAAATACATTTAATATTAAATCAAAAATTCTCCTTTTTCTGTATTTTCATTTCACATTTTTAGTATAATACTTAACATATAAATATAGGTAGACAGATAGATAGATATAGATAGGTAAACAGATTTTTTCAACATGCTTATCTCTCTCTAAGGGAGCAAAATATGTATTTCTCATTCTAAGACACTAATAAAGGTGTCAACAGATATTTAGTTTTAGAATTCATCAGATGAATTCAGTAGTTTGTGAAAGGTTGCACGGGAAGGCAAACATGATAAAAACAGTAGTTGCTAGTTTGAATTACACTTTTGGAAGTGTAAAAATATATTTACTTTGACAACTATTTCTCATTCTGAATACGTATTTCTCTTCCGAATGTGAGGGTAGAATTTCAGCTCTAAGTATTATAACCAGTAAATGTTAAGATTTTAAATTTCAAATGTTCTTTTTGCAGTTAATACTGAGCATTTGATAGTACTTTCAAAATTTATTCTAAAACTTGAATTTCATGTGACTGTAAGTGGTCTTTGGCAAAACAATATGAATTCTATTTGAGAAATTTCATAAAAAAAAATTGTATCGATGGTGAATTATCCTGTAAGAAAGACTTTTGCTTTCAATCTTAGTTAAATTTTAAAAGAAAATACCCTGTGTTTTTAAAAATTATAATATCACCTTGAATTTTTTTTTTTTTAGTTAACAACAAAAGTGAGAAGCTGGCTATATTGCTGGAAAGGACAAAAAATGCAAATAGTGATATTTCTCCTTAAAACTTGTAAACTCCTCTTAAGCATTTAAAATAAAATGTATATGATTGTGTAGGCTTCTTTCCATAGGTGCATTTTAAAATCAGTATTTTGAATGAATAGTATTAAAAACTAAATTTATTGACTTTTCTGTATTTACTTCTCTCTCTCTTTTTCATCCAGCAAGTGATGCTAATTCAAACAGTTGCCAAAGAGAAGAATTGGGAATATTTTAATTTTTTCTATATATTCATCAGTGCTATTATTCTCTCCTTAAATAGCTCTTAAATTCATGCATTCCCCCGATTTGTTTTTAGTGCAGATCTACTGTTATCTCTTGTTTGCATTTTATACAACAGTCTCCTAAAAAGTTTGTCCTTTCCTCACTGCAATTCAAAATTTTTTCTAAAATATAAAACTATTCAGGTCAGATTTTCTTACTTTCTTTTTAATGAACTCCTAAGGCTAAGTTTGATATCCATAGTGTCCCCAGAACACCCTGAATAAAAGCAACATAGCATATGTCATATGGTATTTTGGTCTTAATTTGCATATTTCTTGATTTAATCCTAATTAAATTGGAAGCAAATTGATGGGAGGTCGAATGTATTATTCACCATTCCAATTCCAGTTCTGAAAACAGTGCCTGGAAAATAGCATATGATCATTAAACATTTATTGATTGAACCAAGCATTCATATTGTTTTGGCTTCCCAATTTTTGTTTTTTTATTTAAAAATTAAAATCACATTGGATTATATATATCATATATAATATATTGTATATAATATATAATATATTGTATACAATATATATCGTATATAATATATAATATATTGTATATAATATATAATATATTGTATATAATATATTATATATTGTATATAATATATTGTATACAATATATTATATGATACATTATATAATATATTATATATAATATTGATAATATATATTTATTATATATTAATAATGTATATTTATAATATACTAATATATAATGAATATATATTATTTATTTATAATTATCTATTTATAATAATATATAATTTAAAATTATATCTATAATATAATATATATAATTTAAAATTATATCTTTATAATATAATATATATAATTTATCATATATGTAGAATACAATATATATAATTTATAATTATATATTTATAATATAATCTATATAATTTATCATATTGTATGTATGTAGAATACAATATATATAATTTATAATCATATATTTATAATATAATCTATACAATTCATCGTATTATATGTAGAATACAATATATATACTTTATAATCATATATTTATAATATAATCTATACAATTTATCATATATGTAGAATACTATCTATAATTTATAATCATATATTCATAATATAAACTATACAATTTATCATATTATATGTAGAATACAATATATATACTTTATAATCATATATTCATAATATAATCTATACAATTTATCATATTATTTGTAGAATACTATATATACTTTATAATCATATATTTATAATATAATCTACACAATTTATCATATTATATGTAGAATACAATATATATACTTTATAATCATATATTCATAATATAATATATACAATTTATCATATTATATGTAGAATACTATATATACTTTACAATTATATATTCATAATATAATCTATACAATTTATCATATTATATGTAGAATATAATATATATACTTTATAATCATATATTCATAATATAATCTATACAATTTATCATATTATATGTAGAATACAATATATACACTTTATAATCATATATTCATAATATAATCTATACAATTTATCATATTATATGTACAATACAATATATATACTTCTTAATCATATATTCATAATATAATCTATACAATTTATCATATTATTTGTACAATACAATATATATACTTCTTAATCATATATTCATAATGTAATCTATACAATTTATCATATTTCATGTAGAATACAATATATAAACTTTATAATCACATATTCATAATATAATCTATACAATTTATCATATTATGTGTAGAATACAACATATATACTTTATAATCACATATTCATAATATAATCTATACAATTTATATTACATGGAATACAATATATATATTTTATAATCACATATTCATAATATAATCTATACAATTTATCATATTATATGTAGAATACAATATATATACTTTATAATCACATATTCATAATATAATCTATACAATTTATTATATTATATGTAGAATACAATATATATACTTTATAATCACATATTCATAATATAATCTATACAATTTATCATATTATATGTAGAATACATATATATATTTTATAATCCATATTCATAATATAATCTATACAATTTATCATATTATATGTAGAATACAATATATACAATTTATAATCATATATTTATAATATAATCTATACAATTTATCATATTTTGTGTAGAATACTATATACAATTTATAATCATATATTTATACTATAATCTATACAATTTATCATATTATATTTATAATACTATATATAATTGATAATCATATATTTATAATATTATATATAATTTTATATTATATATTTATAATACTATATATAATTTATAATTATATATTTATAATCTAATATATAATTATATATTACATATTTATAATATTAATATTTATAATATAATATATAATTATATGTTACATATTCATAATATAATATACAATTTTAAATTACATATTCATAATATAATATATATAATTATATATTACATATTCATAATATTATATATAATTATATATTACATATTCATAATACAATATACAATTATATATTACATATTCATAATACAATATATATAATTATATATTACATATTCATAATACAATATATATAATAATATATATTACATATTCATAATACAATATATATAATTTTATATTACATATTTATAATACTATATATAATTTTATATTACAAATTTATAATACTATATATATAATTTTATATTACATATTTATAATACTATATATAATTTTATATTACATATTTATAATACATATATAATTTTATATTACATATTTATAATATAATATATATAATTTTATATTACATATTTATAATATAATATATATAATTTTATATTACATATTTATATTATAATATATATAATTTTATATTACATATTTATAATATAATATATAATTTTATATTACATATTTATAATATAATATATACAATTTTATATTACATATTCATAATATAATATATATAATTTTATATTACATATTTATAATATAATATATATAATTTTATATTACATATTTGTAACATAATATGTATAAATTTATATTATATATTTTAATATAATATATAATTTATAATTATATATTATAAGATAATATATAATTTTATAATTATATATTATAAGATAATATATAATTTTATATTATATATTATAATATAATATTCATAATTTATAATTGTATATTTATAATATAATATATATAATTTATAATTGTATATGTATAATATAATATATATAATTTATAATTATATATTTATAATATAATATATATAATTTATAATTATATATTTATAATATAATATATGTAATTTATAATTTTATATTTATAATATAGTATATGTAATTTATAATTTTATATTTATAAAATAGTATATATAATTTATAATTTTATATTATATAGTTGTAAGATACTATATATAATTTATAATTATATATTATATATGTATAATATACTATATGTTATATATGTATAATATACTATATGTTATATATGTATAATATACTATGTTATATATGTATAATGTACTGTATGTTATATATGTATAATGTACTGTATGTTATATATGTATAATGTACTGTATGTTATATATGTATAATGTACTGTATGTTATATATGTATAATATACTGTATGTTATATATGTATAATATACTGTATGTTATATATGGTTAAAAACACAACAAAACACGACAGGTAAAATCAATGAATATTTTATGATGCAAAATAATATTTTTTGTCTTATCTCTCTTCTTTCAGGCAGTTACCTTTACCAGCTTTCTGTTTTGAGTACATCTTATGATTACCTCAATTTTCTAAATACTATGCCAAGACACTTTTTCATTATTCATCAATTATGTACACTTTTTTCTGTGCTCCCATTATGATGGATGAAATCCTAGCTTACTCAAACAATGTGATGCCTCTTCTTCCTGTTATCTCTTGACATATTTATATCAGTATTTTCAGAGACTCTATTTGTCACTCCAGCTTTCAAACAAATCAGTATTATATATTAATTTTTTAATCAACCATATAAATATCTTTATTTTTTCTTTTTAATGATTATAAAATATTCCTCCTTCCCTCTCTTTTCCATCTCCTTTTAATATTCCATCTCTGTTCATTGATTTACTTTTATATTTTTAAGGTGAATACAATCCATAATTTTTTCTATAACTATGTTTTGTGGTTTTCTTTTCCAGTCATTGTACAATGATCCTTTAATCACGTTCTGATGTGCTCTATTTTTTATTCTGCCATTACAGTATTTTCATTTTCTTCATAGGCACTTTACTATGTGAATATTTGAATTGTCCTCTCCCAGATCCAGAGATCCCCTCTTCAATCTCCTCTTGAAGGCTCTGTCATCTTGTCAAATTTGTTATTATCATTTTACGGACCTGCTGATCTTTGATCCTGAAATATACACTTTTCTTAATAGCACATCTTTCTCTACAGTAACTTTGATAGAATGAATCTTTAAATAATTTCTAAGAAATGTACATGAAAATAATAGTTCTGAATACTAGAAATTTCTTTATTCCTGAAATGCTTTTGTTTTTCCCTTCCACTTGAATTATATTTTAGGTAGATACATTATTCTACATTGAAAATAATTTGTCTCTCAGAAATTAGGTCCTTTTTCTTTTCTCCCCCAATTTTTCTAATACATAATACAAACAAAAATTTTATGTATTCATAGTGTATAGAATATGTTTGTATGTATGTAGACATTATGGAATGGCTAAATCAAGCGAATTAAAGTATCTGTCACCTCACATACTATCATTTTTTGTGGTGAGAACATTTAAGCTTTACTGTCTTAGCAATTTTCAAGTGTGCAACACATTATTGTTTACTATAGTCACCATACTGTACAATGGATCTCCAGAATGTATTTATCCTAAATGAAACAGTGTACCCTTTAACAAATATCTCCTTGTAGGCCTTCTTTCTGTTTATTGTACCAAAGAATTTTGTACATGGGTGTTAAGATGCTAGACAGATTTCTGTTCTTTTGTAAAATATTTGTGTACTCATTTCCCTGCTTGCCCTATTCTTACATTCTTTCTAAAAGCTCTAGAATTTAATTTTAATCGAGGTGATCTAGAACAGTGCTAACCCATATGATGGCCACTAGACATTTATTGGTATTGAGTACGTGAAGTTTGTCTAATGCAACTGATGCAAATGTCTTTACATTTTATTTTAAATAGTTTAAATTTGTATTGGATAGTTTAACTAGTTATTAAAAACTTTAAAAAATATTTAGAAAAACTTGTTCATGTAAATCTATTTTTTTGAGCTGTAGATTTTATAAAATCTAAATATAGATTAAATACTTTGTACAAAAATTTAGCATCCAAATGAAATGTGTTATAACAATAAATAGTGAATTTTGAAGACTTATACAAAAATGAGCTCCAAATATCTCAATAATTCAGCATTGATTAAAAGCGAAGTTATGATATTTTGGGTATAGCTGGCTTCAACAACGTATCAATAAATTTATTTTTAACCTATTTCTTTTGCTTTTCAGAAGTGACTATTGAAAAATTTAAAATTACATATGCAGCTCAAATTGTATTTCTATTTGGCCAAGAATCATCTGTTATTCAGAATATAGTGCCCTAAGTAAGGGTTTTGTTTGTTTGTTTGTAATGTGTCAGTGTGAGCCCTTTCAATAGAAAGACCCTTTTCTTAAACTCTGGAAAATTTTCCTGTAATTTTTATTTAATAAATTCGTCTTTATTACCATCCAAGTAATCTACTTTTCTTATGTTATCTCTGTAACTTTTAAAAATCAGATAAAATCAGCGTCTTACTGTTTTATTCGCATATGCTTCATTTCTTGTTCTTTTTTTCTTCTAAATATTCTTTTAAAAAACTTTTCAGCTCTTTTACTGAATATTTGACTTTAGTTCTTGTTCTTGGACTTTTTTTTAATCTTCCTAAGTTTAGATGCTGTGTTTTTCAAATATTGTTGATAATACAAATCACAATTTATGATCTGTGTGCTTATCTGTTTGCTAAAGTTCCTTACTCTTCATGATTTCAGTATATGAGTTTGAGTTGATTATCTCAGTTTTTCTCTTTGATACTGCAATCTCGTAAGATATTGGAGGCTCTTGGATATCCATTTATTTTTATTTTATGGCAACATAAAAGCTGGACTCAATTACTGTGTATTGAGGCATGACTTGTGGACTTTTTTAAGAGAATTCTTCAGTCGAGTTACTGATTGATTTATTGATTATTGTTTGATGATAAAGTGCCAATCTATCTGCCCAGAGTGGTGCTTGAGCAAGAGAAACTTGCAGCTGGTCTATATGGACATTCAATCTATTCATTGTTTCAGCTAGCCTTCTGACTTGAACTTGCTTGTCTGGGGGTCTTGCCTTCATCAGGGTTCTGGAAGTCAAAGACTTTCTCATTGCAGATTTTATTTTGTCACTTTGTCTTCGATTCATCAGGCTCCACTTCTCACCTGATTTATATCATCTAAACACTTTTTATTGCTGCGAGTTGGTCTTTTAACTCTTTACTGAACTTTTATGATATCATAGGAAAGGAGATGAATGAATGTGCTCAGATCATAACCCTGGAGTAGATTGTCATTAGAAGGTGGATGGTCTTTACCATATTTTCATCTCTTAAAAAGTGTAATTTTATTCAGGCACTTTAGTGAAGAGGAACTAGAAATAAAATTCAGTTATTCTAGCCCTTATGATTAAGAAAAATTTTGTTGAAATGTGATAATTCATTCCCTATTTCATTTTAGTTATTTTGTCATTGTCCATGGTCAAGTTTTCAAAATAATACACTGTTCTTTAATCACATCTTTAAAGTAATAGTAAAGTTGCAAGCTTAAAGACATCCTTGAAAAATGTCTAAGAGCAAGGGAGAGGTTTGGGCTAAAGACAATGTAGTTCAAAATTTAGAAGATCTATCATACTAACATTCCACCAAACGAAATAAAAACTAATAACCTTGCAAATGAGTGAAGATATCTTTTTCTATTAGATATACATTAAGCAAGGAAAAGTTGAGTGAAATTTAAATGCATTTTATCATTGCTAAAACAATAAAATTACCTGATCATGCAGTCATTAGCAGCTTTGAGAAGTTTGCTGTGAATTAATTCATCTCTGTTGGGAAATAATTGCAAAAGTTTCTAACTTTTAAGGTATGCTGACACAGAAAATTTTACTTTATAAAGCACACTATTCAAAATTGGACTATGGTCAGCATAACTAATAAAACAAAAAGGCCATACTTTTTTACTCAAGGGTCAGGTCATTATTGTCCTCAGTTCTAAAAAATTTGTTTAAACTTTTATATCAAATGTAGTATCACATGTTGAGAACAAGGGTTATTTCACTTCAAAAATTTATTTTGGTGGAGTTAATGAATCCACTAAGAGGTTTGGACTAAAGACAATGTAGTTCAAATTTAGATCCTTCTAACCTTTTAACAGTAGTAATTTTTGTAGTGGCCTTCTGTAAAAATATTGTTCTCAGCTGCTTTTTTAACATTTTTAATGTGTAGACATGGTTACTTCATGGAAAATAAAGTTTGTGCAAAATTTGTATATTTTCATTTATAAGTTGTCTTTATCATAATAGCTTCTAATTATATTTAGTGTGGAGGTGATATAATTTTACATTATCTCTTTCCTATTCATGTTATTGTTTTATATTTTAAGTGTAACTTCAGAACAGTGAAGTGATGGACTTCATAGAACATCACAGGAGTAGTAAAGATTGTTTTCTAATCTACAAATATTTGTCTTTTTTAACAGAATCTAAATTTATTGGAGATGACAAGTACCCTGTTAAAATCCTGTATTCTGTAGCACTAATTGAAGAAACAACTGAAGCTACAGTTACCATCTTAAAATTGACCTTAAGGGAAAGGACACAGACTTATAGTGACATCAACCCAGAAATCTTTGGGTTGCTACTTTAGATTAAGACTGCCTGCTTTCATTCTTGTTGTTACTTGAAAAAAATAAACCTCAATCTTGTTCAAGTCACTATTATTTGAGATTTCTCTTGCCACTTTTAAAAGGTGCCCCAGGAGAATCATGTGAAGCTCAGGTTGAGAAACCATCCCTCCAAGTGTTCCATTTGGTCTATCCACTACAGGCATGGTGACTTGGCTAAAATAATTAGTCCCACTTCAGAAATTAACTTTATAAATATAATATATACTTTTTGTAACTCAAGTTCTGGAAATGACTAAATGTCCCTTGTATGATTCTTTTAAATGTGATATTTTTCAATAGTTAATTGAACATGATTACTATTATTATTTTTTATTTTTTTTTTTTTTTTTTGAGACGGAGTCTCGCCCTATCGCCCAGGCTGGAGTGCAGTGGTGTGATCTCGGCTCACTGCAACCTCCGCCTCCCGGGTTCAAGCAATTCTCCTGCCTCAGCCTCCTGAATAGCTGGGATTACAGGGATGCGCCAACAAGCTCAGCTAATTTTTCTGTATTTTTAGTAGAGACGGGGTTTCACCATATTGGCAAGACTGGTCTCGAACTCCTGACCTTGTGATCCACCAGCCTCGGCCTCCCAAAGTGCTGGGATTACAGGCCTGAGCCACCGTGCACGGCCAGGTTATAATTTTTAAAGTTAAAATAATAAGGAGTAGTGTCCTGAAATTATCTTGTAATACTTCCTCACTATCAGGTATTGACAACGAAAATATTTCCATTCCAATTGAAAAATGGTATGTGCATATACGTGTTTATAAATAAACATTATGAAAAGACAAATGTAATGTTGTGTAAAAATAAATGAACTCATGGATATAAAGTATCCCTTTAATCTCGTGTTATGTTTATTAATTTCAAATGAAACAAAGCAGTGGCCATAATATCATTCATTGTGTCCTATGTAAGAAGTCATATGATAAATTTTCCTTAGAATTTAGCATATAAAGAGTTTGATATACTTTATAACACCCTATCCCTAAATGCCACAAGCCAGACACAGAAGCCATGCAAAAGTGACTATCACACACAGGTACAGAGTACCACCAAGCAGAAAGGGGTTAATACTGCAGAGAGAGCCCCAAAGTACAGCTTGAGGAACACAGGGAGTCATCCCAAGACCTTCACTTGGCTGCCATGGAAACAGCAAACACTATAAGCTTTGCTTCATTCAGTCTTCCGAAATGAAACGTTAATAGGGAAGACTCACTAACACTTGTGGTGAACACGGTTAGCAAGGATGCAATGTGTCTCCTGGGCTGTAGGACTCCGTCTGCTTCAGCTGAACTCTCAGAAATTACAGATGAGAGAGATATATGCATATGCACATACATATACACATATCTGTATGCACACAGATGTATTTAAATGAAGGTGCATACACTGGGCTAAAATACAAACAACAGAAATCAAAGGTCATATAATAAAAGGCTAAATATAACACAGGCCTAGAACTAGCTCCTGGTTGGGAGCTGGGGAAAGGTACACAATTTGTGGTGGGCTGGGAAAACTATGTACACAATTAGTGGTGGGCAGGGAAGGCATCAGTGTAGAGAACTCAGACTCACTTCACAATACTGGCCCACAGGAATGTGTGATGTTATCTCATGTACATAAATAGACTCTAACCTTGCTTTTGTGCAAACCAAGCTTGGTAGGCACCCAGGAGGACCGTGGGTTTGTCTTGATGACAGGGCACTGCACCACACTGCTGCTAAACCTTCCAGCCCTAGGAACTCACCTGCTACCATCCCCTTACACTCCCTTTTAGGCCCTTGGGCTTTTTCCCATCCAACACCTAGAGCCTGAGGCCTGCCAAACTACCTAGCTTCACATGACTAATTGCAGTGACTAACTTCATGGCTTCCTGCAAGCAAGGTCCTTCTGTATCTGTCTCTTTCTCTGACCCCAATATGAAAACATTTCTGTAAATGTCTGGCACCTAATAAACATGATGGTTGTGGACAATGTCACAAGTACACAGGAAGACCCAGTAACAAGACATGCAAGGTGAGGGCAAGGGGCGCTGAGCTGCTCTAGCATTTCAAAACCAGGACTGTAGCTTTCCATACATTCAGCGGGGTAGGAGAAGGGATGTGCAGAGCTGATGACTTCACTGGCTCCTCAGCAGCATGTACATTCAAATTGAAGATGTCTTGAGAGCCCCACTATACCCAAATCGTGAGTCTGGTCACTCCTCTAGCAGAGCTTGGTGCAGTGACAGCTAGAAAAGCTGAGTTCCAATTGAGTCTGTTGCACCAGAGTTCTTTTGAAGATGCTCAGCAAAGTAATTATTTTCTTTTGAGCAGATGTACAGCACATCCATGAGAAGGCCAAGTAAAGGATGCTCTCCAGCCCAGTCAAATGATCCAATCCCCCTACTATCTCAGACCCCTCTGAGTTTCTTCCTATGGCCGCCCTCACTGTACAGAAATAGCGGAGCAGCATCAGGGTGAGTCATCAATGGTGGGCAGCCAGAAGACCATGCTGGAACACGCACTGGCAAAAGTCATGAACTTGGGGTTGAACTGCAAACAGGTAATTGGGCCGGTGTGTTTACCATCCAACACAGCTACTTTTATACCACTCTCTCCATTCCAGACATGGATCTTGCCATCCTCTGAACCAATCATAATAAACTGAGAATCTGGAGTAAATGAAGCCTCCAGTGTGACAGCTTTGCTGTTGGCATAACCCTCAAACGTGTGCATCACCACTCCTTTGAAAGCATCAATGAGGGAAATGAAGCTGCCGTTGGTGGAAATGAGGATGACCTTGCCATCGTTGCTGAATTTAAGTCCTGTCCACTCACAAGTTCGATTACACTGCATCCTAAAGGTAGTAAATGGCCCTTTATCAAAAGAACGAAGGTCGTAAAGTTTGACCATCTCAGAGTTGACACCTGCAGCCAAAATTAACCCTTCTGGATCAAAAGAACAAACTGGCTTCCCCTGTAGACTCATGAGGCCCTGGCAGTTAGGAGCCCGGAGATCCCAGAGTCGAATGGTCTTATCAAGAGACCCAGAAATGAAAATGTCATCCACAGGTGACATGGACAAGGCCACCACTCTTTTGCTATGTCCAGGAAAGTATCTGATGTATTTGTTGTCATGCAAGGACAAGTAACGAATAGTATCGTCTATTTTGTTAGAGCTGTAAACAGCTGTGTTTGCCTCATGAGTGTATCTGATGAGGTCCACGCCATATTTCTTACTGTACAGGGTTCTCTTTGGTTTGCCCTCCTGGCAGTCATATAGCACGATGGAGTCGTCGTTGCTGCTTGAGATGACCGTCTGGCCGTTGGGGCTGAAATCGAAGCAGTTAATCTTGTCCGAGTTTTCGCAAAACACCCTGGCGACGCGGAAGCTCCGCAACACGCTGTCGGTCAGCTTCATGGCGGCGGGTGGGGAAGGCAGCCGGGACTGGCAGCGGGCGGGCTGCTGAGGGGCCAACCCCTGGTGGCGGCGGTGTTGAGCCGGTGGCTAGCGAGAAGTCGGCCGGCAGTGGGGCCGCCTCCTTTTCTTCCTCCTGCTTGGACGACTGTCTTCCGCCTCAACTGTGGAGCCTCGCCGACCGTTAGTCCTCACAGACACCTCAGGGGCAACCGACGCAGCGCCACCTCATCGTGTCCGCCATCTTGGGGCGACGGCCAGAAGTCCAGGGCTAGGAGCCTCAGCCGGCGGACGCCAGGAAACAGGTAGGGATAGATATTTTCATTGAATATGAAACGCAGGATTGGAAGGGATTTTTTTTTCCCTAATGGAAATTTTAGGATTTTTAATTTTTTTCATGTATTTTCTGTTGAAATTCATCTCTCTTATTATTGCTGTTTTGAAGGTAATGCTTCTTATCTTGCTCATTCAGGTAGAATTTTTTGTTCTTTGTTTTCTGAAGTCTTCCTATGATATGTCTGTGTGAATTGAAAATTATTAGAAATCATTTTTCCTAGATTTCGCAGAGATTTTTGTGTATTTGACTTGGCGAAGTCTTTTTTCTCTTCTTTGCTTCTAGGATTTCAGTTACCATAATAATATTGGATCTTTGCGGTATGTCTTTTACACTTTTCATCTTTCTGTGCTTCAATTTGGGTATTTTTTTCTGTCTCATCTTCCAGTTTATTTATTCTCTTCTTTTTGGTGATATCTACTGAGTCACTAATATATCTTAATTATATTTTTCCAATTCTAGAATTTTTATTTAACTTTTTATAGATTTTATTTAACTCTTTATAGATCAATATTGATATTTTATATTTGTAATTGAATATATATAGAAAATATAAATGCAATTTACATTAATATTATATATGCGAATATAAATATCTATCATCTACATATCTTTAATGACAGAAGAGTGCATTAGTATCTGGTTTAGTGATTTAAATATTTAATAAAAATTAAGTAAGATAATCTTTCATGGTATCTTCTAGAAGTCTACTACATCAAGATAAGCACTAAACCAACATTTGTATTCCCTTAGTACATGTAGATTTTACCCTTACCTGAGAATTGTAAACTACAATCAAGTGTGATATAATTGTATATGTGTTTGTAACACACCTTTACTATAACCAAAAACTTTGAATGTGAAAACCATTATTTCAAACTACAGCATTTATTGA
This sequence comes from Homo sapiens, assembly GCF_000001405.40. NCBI lineage: Eukaryota > Metazoa > Chordata > Mammalia > Primates > Hominidae > Homo > Homo sapiens. Next base: position 47,141 of record NW_019805491.1, read on the forward strand.
TATTTTATTAAACTTACTATTTATTTTTGCTATCCGAGAGCAATTTAAAATTAAGAGAAGCAGCAATGGACATGTATTATTGAGAATTTCAAATCTAAGATATCATTTTTCTTTTAAGCACAAGCAATCTATATAGTTACTATATTTGAAGTCGTACTCTGACCAACCTCAATTTCAAATTTGTAGCTAGCTGACCCAAAATAATGATATTGGTCTGGCGACTTCATGCCTTATGGGACTTGTGGAGAAAAAAAAAAAAAACATAATCGATCTTCTTTCATGAGATGTTGAGCCCTGTAGGCTTCCTTCAAAGGAGTTCTTTGTCCTCATGTAGAAAGAGTAAAGGAAAGGAAGAAGGAAAGAAAGAGCCCAACTGGGTTTTAATACAGAGTCTGTGAAAGTGATTCAGTGAGGCAGAAAGCTTCATTGCGAGTTTATGATACAGGTCCAGTTACAGGCAACAAAGAGAAAGTAAATTCCAAAAATCTTTTCAAAAAAGTAGATTTAAAAACAACAATGATAACGCTGGAAAGCCAGATCAAATCAAGAGTTGTAACCCCCAAAATTAACAAATCTAGAGAAGTGAAAAAAAAAATTCCTGTGCTAAATTAGTTTCATTAAATGGCCATCAATTCATGTTAACTTCCTATGGTGGTAACACTATCAAAAATGTTTTTTCCTATTTCCTTTGTTTCTGGTAACACTATTATCTATCTCTATCTATCTATCTATCTATCTATCTATCTATCTATCTATCTATCTATCTGTCATCTATCTATCTGTATTTGGAAAATATATTTTTAGTATAATATTTAGGCTTCAAAGCATAAAAGCCTAATGTTCAAGTTAGACAAAAATAATGAACTTTTTTTTAAAGAAATGAAGACCCATGTACCTAATATACCCTGCAGTTGTTTGTGTGTGTTGATGGGAGGTTGCATGTGTATGAATGCTTGTGCATTGTGCATGTGCATGCTTTTCTATGTGTGAATGTGCTTTTATTATGTGTGCACACACCAAATATAGTGTGTGTGTGTGTGTGTGTGTGTGTGTGTGTGTGATATTTTGGCTTACAATATATTAACCTATAGCATAATAATGTTAACCTATAAAATTCATGGCCCTTCACATAAAAATCTGGATTTTCAACTTCGCTTAGAAGAGAGAAATATGGGAAAATACCAGGCCAACAATTTGCTATGGAAATAGTTTGCTGGAGCTCCGCTCTCTTTAGACTGTGTACATTCCTTTGCCATAGTACTTATTTCTCTTATTATCTGCCAGATTGAGATGTTTGTTAACTTTTGTGGAAGCTTGGATTATTTAATTGTAAATTTAGGAGAAAGATTTTTCTTCATGCGTCTATGAAAATATGAAAAAAAAGGCTAGTGGTCTGTGCACTTTAGATAAATGGTAGTAAGCACTGTTCTTAGTAGAAGTGAAGAATATTTATTCCTTTTTATATTCAAGGTGTGTTGTTGTGAAAAGAGTAAAGACACTGTTTAAAAAATAAGTCACATTAAGATACATGCCAGAAATTAGAATTTTTAAATGACTAAAGAAGGAAAAAGAGCAACCAGAAATAAAAGTGGCAAGCCAGCATGTTTTATTTTAGATGTTGTGCTGCATATAAGCCCTTCTCTTTGAACACCCATATCTTTTTAAAAATTATTTTTGTTTTTCTTTATTTCTTCTAAAAAAAAACCAAAATGGGATATATATACATAATATGCAGGGTTGTTACATAGGTATACATGTGCCGTGGTGGTTTGCTGCACCTATTGACTCGTCCTCTAAGTTCCCTCCCCTCTCTCCTCACCCCCCAACAGGCCCTAGTGTCTTTAGTTTCGCTCTCTGTGTCCATGTATTCTCACTGGTCAACTACCTATTACGAGTGAGAACATGCAGTGTTTGGTTTTCTGTTCCTATGTTAGTTTGTGGAGGATGATGGCATCTAGCTTCATTCGTGTCCCTACGAAGGACGTGATCTAATTCTTTTTATGGCTGCATAGTATTCCACGATGTATAGGTACCACATTTTCTTCATCCAGTCTATCACTGATGGGCATTTGAGCTGGTTCCATTTCTTTGCTATTGTAAACAGTGCTGCAATAAACAAATGTGTGCATGTGTCTTTATAGTAGAATGATTTATAATCCTTTGGGTATATACCCAGTAATGGGATTGCTGGGTCAAATGGTTCTGGTTCTAGATCCTTGAGGAATTGCTATACTGTCTCCCACAATGGTTGAACTAATTTACATTCCCATGAACAGTGTAAAAGAGTTCCTATTTCTCCACAGCCTTGCCAGCATCTATTGTTTCCCAACATTTTAATAATCACCATTCTGACTGGCATGAGATCATATCTCATTGTGGTTTTGATTTGCAGTTCTCTGTTGATCAGTAACGTTGAGCTTCTTTTCATATCTCTGTTGGCCACATAAATGTCTTCTTTTGAGAAGTGTTCATATCCTTTGCCCACTTTTTGATGGGGTTGTTTGTTTTTTTTTCTCATAAATTTGTTTAAGTTCCTTGTAAATTCTGGATACTAGATGCTTGTCAGATGGGGGTAGATTGCAAAAATTTTATCCCATTCTGTAGGTTGCCTGCTCACTCTAATGATAGTTTCTTTTGCTGTGCAGAAGCTCTTTAGTTTAATTAGATCCCATTTGTCAATTTTGGCTTGTGTTGCAATTGCTTTTGGCATTTTTGTCGTGAAGTCTTTGCCTATGCCTACATCCTGAATGGTATTGCCTAGGTTTTCTTCTAGGGTTTTTATGGTTTTGGGTTTTACATTTAAGTCTTTAATCTATCTTGAATTAATTTTTGTATAAGATATGATGCAGTGGTCCAGTTTCAATTTTCTGCATTTTTCTAGCTAGTTTTCCCAGCACCATTTACTGAATAGGAGATCCTTTCCCCATTGCTTGTTTTTTTTCAGGTTTTTTGAAGATCAGATGGTTGTAGATGTGTGGTATTTCTGAGGTCTCTGTTTTGTTCCATTGGTCTATATGTCTTTTTTGGTGCCAGTACCATGCTGTTTTGGTTACCATAGTCTTGTAGTATAGTTTGAAGTCACGTAGTGTGATGCCTCCAGCTTTGTTCTTTTTGCTTAGGATTGTTTTGGCTATACCGGGACTTCTTTGATTCCATATGAAATTTAGAATAGTTTTTCCTGTTTCTGCAAAGAATGCCAATGGTAGTTCAATGGGAATAGCATTGAATCTGTAAATTACTTTGGGCAGTATGGCCATTTTCAGGTATTGATTCTTCCTATCCATGAGCATGGGATGTTTTTCCATTTGTTTGTATCCTCTCTTATTCCTTGGGCATTGGTTTGTAGTTCTCCTTGAAGAGGTCCTTCACATCCCTTGTTACCTGTATTCTTAGGAATTTTATTCTCTTTGTAACGATTATGAATGGGAGTTCCTTCATGATTTGGCTCTCTGCTTGTCTACGGTTGGTGTAAAGGAATGCTTATGATTTTTGCACATTGATTTTGTATCCAGAGACTTTGCTGAAGTTGCTTATCAGCTTAAGGAGTTTTGGGCTGAGATGATGGGGTTTTCTAAATATAGAATCATGTCGTCTGCAAAGAGAGACAATTTGATTTCCTCTCTTTCTATTTGAATGCCCTTTACTTCTTTCTCTTGCCTGATTTCCCTGGCCAGAACTTCCAATACTATGTTGAATAGAATTGGTGAGAGAGGGCATCCTTGTTTGGTACTGGTTTTCAAAGGGAATGCTTCCAGCTTTTGCCCATTCAATATGATATTGGCTGTGAGTTAGTCATAAATAGCTCTTATTATTTTGAGATATGTTCCATCAATACCTAGTTTATTGAGAGTTTTTAACATGAAGGGATGTTGAATTTTATGAAAGGCCTTTTCTGCATCTATTGAGATAATCATGTGGTTTTTGTCATTGGTTCTGTTTATGTGATGGATTACATTTATTGATTTGCACATGTTCAACCAGTCTTGCATCCCAGGGATGAAGCCAACTTGATTGTGGTGGATAAGTTTTTTGTTGTGCTGCTGGATTCAGTTTGCCAGTATTTTACTGAGGATTTTCACATCGATGTTCATCAGGGATATCGTCCTGAAGTTGTCATTTTTTGTTGTATCTCTTCCTGGTTTTGGTATCAGGATGATGCTGGCCTCATAAAATGAGTCAGTGAAGAGTCCCCACTTTTCAATTTTTTGGAATACTTTCAGAAAGAATGATATGAGCTCCTCTTTGTACCACTGATCAAATTCATTGGAGAATCTATCTGGTCCCGAGGTTTTTTTGTTTGGTAGGCTATTAATTACTGCTCCAATTTCAGAACTTGCTATTGATCTATTCAGGGATTCAACTTCTTCCTGCTTTAGCCTTGCGAGGGTGTATGTGTCCAGGAATTTATCTCTTTCTTCTTAATTTTCTAGTTTATTTTCATGGAGCTATTTATAGTATTCTTGATAGTAGTTTGTTTTTCTGTGGGGTCAGTAGTGATACCCTCTATCATTTTTTATTGAGCCTGACTCTTCTCTCTTTTCTTCTTTATTGGTCTAGCTAGTGGTCTATTTTGTTAATTGTTTTTCAAAAAACCAGCTCCTGGACTCATTGAATTTTTTTTTGGAGGACTTTTCATGTCTCTGTTTCCTTCAGTTCTTCTCTGATCTTAGTTATTTCTTGTCTTCTGCTAGCTTTTGGATTTGTTTTCTCTCTAGCCCTTTTACTTGTGATGTTAGGGTGTCAATTTAAGAACTTTCTAGCTTTCTGATGTGGGCATTTAGTGCTATAAATTTCCCTCTTAACAATGCTTTAGCTGTGTCCCAGAAATTCTGGTACATTGTCTCTTTGTTCTCATTGTTTTCAAAGAACTTCTTGATTTCTGCCTTAATTTCATTATTTACCTGGGAGTCATGTAGGAGCAGGTTGCTCAGTTTCCATGTAGCTGTGTGGTTTTGAGTGAATTTCATAATCCTGAGTTATAATTTGACTGCACTGTGGTCTGAGAGACTGTTTGTTATGATTTCAGTTATTTTGCGTTAGCTGGGGAGTGTTTTACTTCCAATTATGTGGTCGATTTTAGAGTAAGTGCCAGGTGGCACTGAGAAGAATGTATATTCTGGTGATTTGGGATATAGTGTTCTGTAGACATCTACTGGGTCCACCTCATCCAGAGCTGAGTTCAAGTCCTGAATATCCTTGTTAATTTTCTGTCTTATTGACCTGTCTAATACTGACAGTGGGGTGTTATAGTCTCACACTATTATTGTGTGGAAGTCTAAGTCTCTTTGTACATCTCTAAGAACTTGTTTTATGAATCTGGGTGCTCCTCTATTAGGTGCATATATATTTAAAATATTTAGCTCTTCCTGTTGAATTGTTCCCTTTACCATTATGTAATGCCCTTCTTTGTCTTTTTTGATCGTTGCTGGTTTAAAGTCTGTTTTGTCAGAGACCAGGATTGCAATCTCTGCTTTTTTTTTTGCTTTCCATTTGCTTGGTAAATTTTCCTCCATCCCTTTATTTTGAGCCTATGTATGTCTTTGCACATAAGATGGGTCTCCTGAATACAGCACCCCAATGGGTCTTGACAATTTATCCAATTTGCCAATTTGTCTTTTAACTGGGATATTTAGCTCATTTATATTTAAAATTAGTATTGTTATGTGTAAATTTGATCCTGTTATGATGTTATCTGGTTATTTTGCACACTAGTTGATGCAGTTTCTTTTTAGTGTCATTGGTCTTTATATTTTGTTGTGTTTTGCAGTGGCTAGTACAGGTTTTTCCTTCCCATATTTAGTGCTTCCTTCAGGAACTTTTGGAGGGCAGGCCTGGTGGTGATGAAATCCCTCAACATTTGCTTGTCTGGAAAGGAATTTATTTCTCCTTCACTTATGAAGCTTAGTTTGGCTGGATATGAAATTCTGGGTTGAAAATTAATTCATTTAAGAATGTTGAATATTGGCCCCCACCCTGTTCTGGCTTGTAGGGTTTCTACAGAGAGATCTGCTGTTGGTCTGATGGGCTTCCCTTCGTAGGTGACCTGGCCTTTCTCTGTGGCTGTCCTTAACAGTTTTTCCTTTATTTCGACCTTGGAGAATCTGATGATTATGTGTCTTGGGGTTGATCTTCACATGAAGTATCTTAGTGGTGTTCTCTGTATTTCCTGAATTTGCATGTTGGCCTATCTTGCCAGGTTGGGGAAGTTCTCCTGGATAATATCCTGAAGTGTGTTTTCCAGTTTGTTTCCATTCTCCCCGTCTCCTTCCGGTACTCCAGTCAATCATAGGTTTGGTCTTTTTATGAGGTCCCATATTTCTTGGAGGCTTTGTTCATTCCTTTTCATTCTTTTTTTTTTTTTTTCTAGTCTTGTCTGAATGTCTTATTTCAGCAAGGTGGTCTTCAACCTCTGATATCCTTTCTTCTGCTTGGTTGATTCAGTTATTGGTACTTGTGTATGCTTCACGAAGTTCTCATGCTGTTTTTCAGCTCCATCAGGTCATTTATGTTCCTCTCTAAACTGGTTATTCTAGTTAGCAACCCCTCTAACCTTTTATCAAGTTTCTCCGCATCTTTGTATTGGGTTAGAACAGGCTCCTCTAGCTCAGCGTAGTTTCTTGTTGCCCATCTTCTGAAGCTTACTTCTGTCAATTTGTCCATCTGATCCTCTGTCCAGTCTGTGTCCTTGATGGAAATAATGTTGCGATCATTTGGAGAAGAGGCACTCTGGCCTTTTGGGTTTTCAGCATTCTTTCATTCATTCTTTTTCATCTTCGTGAGTTTGTCTAGATTCAATTTTTGAGGCTGCTAACCCTTGGATGGGTTTTGTTGGGGGCTTTATTTGTTGTTGATGCTTTGTTGTTGCTTCTGTTAGTTTGTTTTACTTTCAATGGTCAGGTCCCTCTTCTGCAGGGCTGCTACAGTTTGTTAGGGGTTCACTTCAGGTCCTATTCATCTGATTCACTCCCACGCCTGGAGATGTCACTCAAGGCGGCTATAGAAGAGGAAAGATGGGTGTCTGCCCTTTCTTCTGGGAACTCTGACCTCGAGGGGCTCCAATCTGATGCCAGTAGGATCGCTTCTGTATAGGGTATCTGACAACCCCTCTTGGATGATCTCACACAGTTGGGTGACATGGAGAAGGGGATGTATTTAATGAAGCACTTTGTCCTTGGTGGAGAGGGTGTGCTTTGCTTGTGGGAAACCCGCTCATCTGGGCTGCTCTGATTCCTCAGAACTACCAGGAGGAAAGGCTAAGTCTGCTGCTCCGGAGACTATGGCCACCTCTCCCCCAGGGGCTCATTTCCAGGGAGATCCAGGTTCTATCCCTGAGCCTCTGGCTGGAGTTATTGGAGTTCTTGCAAGGAAGCCCTTCCCAATGAGGAAGGATGGGTCAGGGTCAACACACAGATGGCCACAGCCGGTGTGTTGGGCTGTGGAAGACCAAGCTATCCAGCCTCCCTGGCTGCATCAGGGGAAAAGCCCAGTCTGGAGCTATTGAGATGGATGCCACCCTTCTCCTGCTCAGGGAGCTTAGTGTGTTAGGCAGTTGAGAGTCTCAGTGTTGGCTGCTGCCCCTCCCTCAAGGAGCTCAACTGGCTTAGCAGGCAGTGGCAGCCGGTGCTGGTCACCCCTCCCCCCTGGAGTTCCTTAGTCTTCAGCAGATTCCAGCTGAGAGGCTGTTGAGAATCTGTGCATTCCAGGGTTGGGACACTAGGCTCCGGTGGCACGGGTTTGCGAGTGGGATCTTCTGATCTGTGGGTTGCACAGTTCCGTGGAGAAAGCATGGTTTCCCCGGCTGGGTAGCACACTCACTTACTGCCTCCCTTAGCTAGGGAGAGGGGTGTCGCTTGCTCAGTGTGGGTCTCAGGTGGGCTACCACACTACACTGTTCTTCCTTCCTCTCATGGCTCATGCCAACCTCTTAGTCAGTTTTGATGAGAGAACCTGAATACCTTGGTTGCTGGTGAAAGATTCACACAATGATCACAAGGTCCCACAATAGGCCGTCTGCAAGCTGAGGAACAAGGAAACCAGTTGTGACTCAAAGCTGACAAACTTGAAGTCCTATGTTCAATGGCATCCAGCACAGAAGAAAGATGAAGGCTGGGAGCCTGAGCCAGTCTTGAACACCCATATCTTAACAATCTTTTTAAGTTTCAGGAACTTGAAATATTATCATTATCACCTATGATGTGATATATAATAAATATTCTATCAGTGTTAGTGGAAGGCAAGGCCTAAGGAGGTTGAAATGTATATAATCATTTTCTCAGCCATTCTTGTTGCCAGAGTTTGGGCATGTGATTTGAGCTACATCTATCAGATGCACTGCCCTAGACTTTGAATTAAGAGTAAAAGGTTAAACCATTTGGGGACAATAAGTATCTCTTTCTCTTGTTCAGGCTAATTGCAGCAAGATGGACTCTGAGGTGGCATGTGCTTCATGCCAATTACTGATCTAGTGCTATTAGTGTCAGTAGAACCACATCTAGATTACAGTGGAGATGGTCATGGTTTTCTCACCTGTTTTGAGCAGTGATTTGGGACATTGTTACTGACACTGAAAACTCAATTAGCGGAAGTTAGTTTCTTTTATTTCAACTAAGGGCCCTTAGAGTCAACTCAAATTGGTACCAAAACCCTTTCAGATTTTCAGAAAATCTTCATTAGTTACCTGGATTAAAGGCAAGAGAAATAAAAAGTACTATACAGGAATGAGATTCTATTAGCTTGTAGTAAGCTATAGACAGATTAAACCAAACATTTTCCAGAAGTGTGTAACAAAGGGGGCAGGCTTAAGTGAACCATAGGTTTAATCAAGATAATGATGGCCACAGACTCTAATAAGGGTAAAAAGAGAATAAAGAGGTGGTAGGTTTAGTGGATTGTAACTTCAGATTAGTTTGAAGTCCATTGGACTAAGTGTTTTAGAAAAAGTTGTTTGAAAAGAGTGGGTTTTATTTAAAGAATTGATTATTTTAACAACAACAAAAAATTAGCCAGGCGTGGTGGTGCACACCTGTAGGCCCAGCTACTCAGGAGGTTGAGACAGGAGAACTGCTTGAACCTGGGAGGCAGAGGTTGCAGTGAGCCAAGATCCCAGTGCTACACTCCAGCCTGGGCAACAGAGTGAGACTTCTTCTAAAAATAAATTAAAAAAAAGAAAAAACAGAATTGACTATTTTAATTTCAGATGTTGGTATGTGTACAGTTCTCCTCTGCTGATACTTGCTCTATTCATACCACACATTTTAATTTTACATAGGCTGTAAGTCTATTAATTATTGTCTTTTTTTAAGCACAATTATCTTTTAAATATATTTAAATAATGTGATAAAAGATTATTATACTTACGCACTTACCATTTCTGCTATTTCTTGCATTTTTGTGGGGATTCACAGTGACATCTGGCATCATTTTTCTTGCTGAAGGACTAATTTTGACATTTCTTTCTCTTAGTCAGGCTAAGGAGTTGGCTGAGATGATGTGGTCTGACAAGCAAAATTGACTTTCTTGTAGTACAGATCTGCTGTATTGCTTCAGCTTTCCTACTTCTGACTTTGTAAGATTTGTTTCAGCTTTTGCATGACTGAGAATGTCTTGATTTGGTCTTTGTATTTGAAAAATATTCCTTTTTTCTTTTATTACTTTAAATAAATTGCTTCACAATTTTCTCACTTGAATTGTTTCAAGTGAGAAATCTGCTGTCCAGTTTAATCTGTACATGATGTGTCTTTTTCCTCTGGCTATTTTTAAGACGTTATCACTGGTTTTAAGCCGTTTAACTAAGGTGTTGTGTTGTGTTTCCATGCTTGACTTTGAACTTCTTGGATCTGTGGGTTCATTTATTTTCCATTTTTTTACAACATCAAAAAATTGTTTTTATTAGTTATTAACATAAGAAAATAAATTAACATTCAGCTATTCATTTTAAAACTTTAATTTAAAGATATAACTTTTTTCTGTGTTTCCAAAGCAATAGTTTTTGAATATTTGTGTATGTGGGGTGTGTGTGTGTGTGTGTGTGTGTGTGTGTGTGTGTGTAATTTAGTGAGTCTTGACTGCTGGATCATCTCAGTATCTCTCATTCACCAGGTAAATGATTTCAGTATCTCAGTATCATTCATAGGCTATAACTAACTTCTTTATCTGGAAGTTATTTACTTAAACTGGCTCTGCTATAATATAAAACACTTATTTAGTTGCATATTTAGCTCTGGCTATATGGAAAGTACTTTGTTTTTGGAGAACTAGAGGTTCTCCTTAGTTAGCATAAATGTGTAAAGCAATATTGTGTCCACAGTATATTGCTCCTGTGGCTTTTCCTAATTTTTTGGTCTTCCTACTATCTTAAAATGCAGTAATAGCATGTGCATTGTCTAACACTATTTGTACAATATTGGGAAATGTAATCTTAAAATAGATAGAGAAGTCCTAATAGAAATACTGTGAATATGCCCTAAGAAGTCACATAGATTTAGTAAGAGACAGTTTTCTTCTTCAATCAATTAAGATTCTATTCCCCTAAAGTAAATCTATAGATTCAATTTAAAAAGGGTATAGTATTCTTCTCTATAGTTCTCACCCTCCACTAATATTTCTCAGGATCTCTTCCTGCTGTAGGTAATGAACATTTATTCTAGAGCCTGTCATAACATTAATCAACATACCTACCTTCTAGTGCTATTAAAAATTTGCATCTTTTTACTTGCATTTTTTTAATGTGAAGTCAGGTGCTGTGATGGTTAAATTGTGTGTCTAACCTGACTTAACAATGGGTGTCCAGATACTTAGTCAAGCGTTATTCTGGGTGTTTCTGCGAGGGTGTTTTTTGATGAGTTAAGATTTAAACTGACAGACTGAATAAAACAGATTACCCTCCATAACATGAGTGGGCCACATTCAATCAGTTGAAGGTTTGAATAGAACAAAAAGCCTGGCCCTTCATTATAGGAGAAAAATTCCTCCTGCCTGAATGCTTTTGTGCTGGAACGTTAGTTTTTCCTTGCCTCTGGACTTGAAATGAGACATTCACTCTTCATGCATCTCACTCCTGCCAACAGCAGATCTTGGGATTTGTCTGCCTCCAAAATCATGTAAACCAATTCCCCATAAGTCTCTTTGTGTGTGTATACACACACACACACACACACACACACACACACACACATCCTGTTGCTTATCTTGTTTTCTGGAGAACTCTAATACAAGCATGGGCTTAAGCAAAAATCTTACAGAATGAAATTTTGATTTTTCAGCAACATTCAACAACTTAGATAAATGGCAAATTTCCTAACTTCATTTGAAGAACTGGCAGCAAAACCTATTAATGTTACCTTGAAAAGATAAAAAAAGTAAAACAATCTAGTAATGAGAGAATAATTCTTAGGAAAAAATATGTAGCACGAGCAGCAAGAAATATGCTAGTTCTGTCCATTGAACATTCAAATATGGTGACATTGGCAGCTTTGATAAAATATAAAATGACTAGGGAACTTAGTTCCACCCCAAAAGACAGGCAAGAGAAATACCTGCTGTTTCTCTTGGCACAGTTAATAGTAAAAAGTATCTGCCAATAAAAGCTTGGAAGTATCTCTAAGCATCAGAATTCTACCAAAATTTATTTTCATATAATTTTGATTTTGTTTAAACAAAGTAGGAGGAAATATTAAAAGACATTGTTTTACAATGATAAAGGGTTATCGAAGAACGAATTCCTTTTTTTTTGAGGAGTTTTAGTATGAGTTGTCTCAAGTGCATCAGTATTCCCAGACTAAATAATAACTATTTGATGTGCATGCACATTATGGAGCAGTGATAAATGTGCGCTACTCTCTTCTTTCCGAAAACAGCAGCATTCCCTCCATTCTGATGCTTACACTTACTCTCAAAGCCAACATGTGTATTATTCATTGTAAAGATATGGTTATATTCTAACGGCAATCACATTTTTTAAACTACACGTCATATCATTGTTCATGGATAGTGGTGGTCATGTTTGAATTGTTAAAATTTTAATGGTTTTATTCTATTTATCTGCATAGATCCTACCTTACTGACCAATTTACACTGAGTTGTTTAGTCTATTCTGCTTTCTTTTTTGAGGGAAAAATAATGCATTACTATACAAAAAAAAATAACATGATCCAAGTGGCCTACCTTTCTAGAACATTTGTGAAAAAATATTAATTAATATTCATTTATTAAATCAAATCAGTGGAGATGTTTTTCTATTAAGAATTTATTCTTAGTCTTTGTGGAATAAAAAAATGCTCTTTTAATGTCTTTTCTTGTATACACCTGGAATGTTTTATCTGCTTCTGAGCTCCCACTGGGAACATCACATGTGTCTCCTTGTCTCTCTCTCTCTCTTTTCTTTTAATTCCAGATAAAACTTCTCTGCTTTCATGAAGGTCTCTTAAGTAAAAATGATAATAGTTCTAATCTCTTGAGGACCTACTAATAGAATGAAACAATACTGTATCATATTGTCATTAATCCTATAAACAATTCTTCCATCTTGTCATTATTATTCTCATATTCAAATGAGAAAATTAAGAAATAAAGCTGTTAAATATCTTATCAAAATTCATAAAACATGATTTATATTTATTTGTATTTTGGTGTTAATCCTTTCTAGCTCCTAGTACATTTTTTGACTACATGTTCTCTTTCATTTAGTAAGCTGTGAGCTTCCTTAACATGTAAAATATGTCTTATTCATATTTCTATCACTATCATGCCTTCTTTATGACCTGAAATTCAGTATGTGGTTACACACGCATTGAATAAAAGTGAAATAACATAAAATATATTTATGAGTCTGATTTTCTCTTTTTTAAAGTCTGAGTGACTTTGTCACAGCAAATACTTGTTAAAATATTTCATACACATTAAATTAACATAAATTATGTGTATTATTCCTATTTAATAATGTGTGAATTTTAGTTTTTGAATTTAAGAATTAACTGGTAAGACAAAAACAATCATTGTTAGATAAGACTGACAAAAAAAAAAACAAGACAATTAAGGTCCCATTCTTCCAAGTGGAAGGCAGTTGAAACTGGGCTCTTTAAAAAAATTTGAGCAAGGCTTACAGAGAAACTGTGTGATTATGATATTACAAGGTCCTCAAAAACTGTTTGGAGAAGAAATAATATTAAGAGTCTTTTTTTTCTTTAACAGTACTGAGTTGGGAGATACATATTTCTTATGTCCTACTGAAAAATAAAACACACCTCAGGGAAAAAATTCAGATTAACACTCTCTTACTCTTTCTGATAGTCTGGGTCCATCTTTCCTAAAATTCTAGGGCTGATGTTCAGTTTTCTCTAAATATAACTGCAATGCCCTAAAGCCACTGCAAATGGAGTTTTCCAGTTTTATAATAATAGTGTAAGAAAGTATGATAAGAGTATAGAAACAGTGTCCCTATATTTATTTCTAAACAAATTAAATGAACAAATCATAACTGGACTTTTTATTTTCTATATATTATATTTTGCTTTTTAAAGTAGAAACTTTACTTTTCAACTGCTTTTCTGTTAGCTTTGATGTTCTCTGATACTCTCATTTTGCTATGGACAAATAGGAATTATAAAGGATGTTCAGTCACTGATTTCAAGTAATAGCCAATTTTTTGGAAGAAAAGGGACATATATTTAAAAAATTTTCTACACATATAAAATAAAAACACACCTCAGGGGAAAAATATATATACATATATATTCTCCAGAAACCTTATATAATTTACAGTGATGCAAATTGGCATATATTGTAATGATTATGAGTGATATATGATTAATATCTATAAAGCTCAAAAATTCAGGAGTATTCAGGGGTCTTTTTTATTTTGTAAGTTGTCAGGGTTTACCAAGTATTAAGAAATGTGTCTAATTTTGAGCAGTTTTGCTTCCTGCAGTAAAATGTGTGTGTGTATGTGTGTGTCTCCTATCATAGCACGGATGATTTTTATGTGACTCTATTGGAATCCTATAATTGTTGAAATGAAGAAAACACATGCTTTATGGCCTGGCTGCTTTTGTATAGTAAAACTTAACCATTGAATCAATCTTAATTTATGAAATTATACTTGGAATTTTGTCTCAAGTAAGCTAGAGATCCACAAGTCTTGTGTGTATGATAAGCAACCTGGCAAATGCAAATGCCTGGAATCTATGCTCAGAGTTCTGACATTTTGGCCATGTATTTGGCCTAGACATCTGCATTTTAGTTTTCTGTCCATGCAAGAAATCCTGACGTAGGTGGCTAGTAGAGAACTTCCTGAGCAGCACTACCCTATGCCGTCAGATGAGAGCAGGGTTCTGGCTATCTTACCTACTGCCATATCTACAGCAACTTGCACAGTTTTTTTTTTTTTTTTTTAATGGAAAGAATGAGATTGTCTTAAGAGAAGCTTAGTTCATTAAGTAGGTGTTTATTTAGTAATTTAAAAATGCCCTTTATTTATGGAATTTGAATATTTATACTGGGATTATGGATTCAATTTTGGGAATGCGGCAATAAAACAAGATTTCTACCTATCAGGAAATATATGAGAAATTGTTAATACAATTTGAACATTAAAATAGGCATGGGCATGAAACAGAAGGAAATCATGTCCTTTGCAGCAACATGTCTGCAGCTGGAGGCCACTATCCTAAGCAAATTAATGTAGAAACAAAAATCCAAAAATCACATATTCTGACTTATAGATGGGAACTAAACATTAGGTACTCATGGACATAAAAGTGGCAACGATAGATACTGGGGGATATGGAGGTGAGAGAGAGGGAGGGGGAAGGGTTGAAAAACTAATGTTGGGCACTATGCTTAATACCTGGGTGACGTGATCATTTGGGCAGGCTTTAGCATCACACAATATATCCATGTTACAAACCTGAACATGTACCCCTTGAATCTAAAATAAAAGTTGAAATTATTTAAAACATGTAAAACATTTTTTAAAGTGATTGAACTATATTCAGAACTCGACAGATTTGAAGAGATAAAACCTATACTAAATTTCACAATATCATTGGGGCCCCTGGATTGATATATAACAAATAATTTAATAGTGTATAAATCCCTACTGTTCCAATTTATCCCATCCTTATCCCATCCTTATAAGGAATAATGTATTGAATAAAGATTGTATCAGTATTTGTAATTCAATAAACCAGAACTTGTGGAAATAAATATGTAGGAGACATAAATATGGTGTCCTCAAATTGAATTATGTGGGAAAAAAGTGGGGTGGAGTTAAAGTCCAAGCCAATAAAGTTTGTAACATTAAAGAAAGACAGGTATGGGATGCAAGGTGCAAAGAAAAGGTCATCATATCTCATACTGGGGTGAGATAGAAGACTTCCTGAAGTAGGCGATGCCTATATTGAATCTATAAGGACAAACTGGCATCAATATGTCAGGGAAGACAGGTTGAAGGTGGTCCTGCCAGAGAAAGGAGCAAGGATAAAGGCAAGGAAGCATGTAACGTCATTGTTTGTGGAGAAACCTCAAATCGGCTGAGGAAAAACGACTCAGGTATGTAGTAGGGCACAGTATGAGGAGGAATATGGCAGGAGATACAACTAAACAGAGACGCAGAGACTAGATCAATGTGAGGAAGGACAAGTTACAATTCTAACTTGATGTTTACTCTGTATATGATAGGGTCACACAAACTGTGGAAAATCTATTGTGTTCACATCAAAATTATAGCTCTGGCAAAGGAGGAGATACATAGATACATACAGAAGCTGACCGGATGAACACTCATTTTCTTTACTTGGGTCACCTCCCAAGGGAAGAAAAGAGGCGGTTTACCAGGTCTAATAACTGTGTCATCTGGACTCTAGGTTGAAAGACAAGTGATATTTGCTAGGAAGAAGAAACTTTATCTTTGAAGTGCCTTTAGCAGAATGTCCTTGGTTAAGGATTGCCTATAGTAAAGAGTATCTATGGATTTATGAACCATGGCTCCCTGGAGTAGTTAGTGCAAGCTGTACAACACCTTGTTGTACAAAACAGAAATGTTTGAAAACTCACATACTCTTTCTGCTGTTAGCTCTCTTGGAGACCTCATCTATTACTCTGTAGAGAAGGACACATTTCTGTTGTGGGAAAACAGGACATAGGGAGCTGCTCTTGATGTTCCAGGCCCCTCTCTGCTTCATCTGAGCCTATTGACTGATGATGGCACCCTTCAAATTATTAGTAAAGCTTGATATTAAGCAAGATATTTGATTTGTATTAGTCTGATTTGACAGTTCAATTATTAACGTCGTCCCATGTACTGGGTAGCCAATTTAGTATAGAATAATGCAATTATTGTTTTAAGCAGGAAAAGTGCAGAAATATACTTAGAAAAATAAATGTTTATTTGTGCTATACTGAAATTTTCCTGGTCCTCAAAAAAGGAAGAGGGGATAAGGGTAATATTTACTTTTTATCATCATAAAAATGGGAAAAACTAAGAATATTTGGTGGATGAGACAAAGAAGCAAAGACAAAACCATTTATGATCTGTTTCTGATTACTGATGATACATTTCCTTCCATAATTAAGTGAAAACTAGAAATGTCATATTTAAAGAGAAGTAAATATTAAATAGGAATTATAGCTGAGTTCATCTGAGAAGCAGTCCTGAGGAAAAACTCAAAGGTTGAAATGAAGGGTGGGGTAACAAAGAATGAAATTGCTTTTACAGTGGAAAATCACTTTCTTGGCGTTAATAAATAAAACTTAGAATACTGAGTTAATTCCTGCATACTTGTATCTCTTACAAAACTGGTTAGCTATTACAAATAAGCTACATAAGTTATTCATCCATATCCCTTCACATATTCTATATATTGGACTGCTTTATAGAGAGAATTACAAAATTGGGATAAAATTAGGCTCATTCTATTGGTATAGTGACTTTTTGCAAGCCAGCTTTTCTGCTTGGCAGTTATGGCTGCTTGCTTCATTGATTGCCCTCGCTGACACTTGCTGCTTCCAAAGGGGACAGGATATGTCCAAATGGGGGTAAACAGAAAGTACCTTGTTTGGTACTATGTTTAAAATGCAATTAAGTAAAAAGAAGAAATAATGCTACTAATGCTTTTGCCCCGGGATCTTATAACACCACAGAAAATATAGCTTAATGCAGGAAAAGCCTCTTCAGAGGCTAAGTCATGAAGTCATTTTGGCAGGAAGAAAAAAAAAGGAAAAAATAAATAAAGCAAAGAAGAACTCATAGATTGATATTGTGTAAATCCGGAGAGTTAACATCAAGATCTTAAAAATCAATTCTCTGCTTTATTGAGACCTAGTGGAATTATCTAAATACAGAGGAGGTAATGTGATGGAAAGTCCCCGTTCCTGGCAAGATGAGAGGCATTCAAGTCTGCTGTAACTACAAGTAAATCACAGGAAAAGAAAAACTGAATCAGTAAATAAAATGAAAGAAAAAAGCAGAGCAAAAAGGAAAGATTCCAAACATTTTGGACTTTTTCTACAGACACATGATAGCAATAGTATAACATAAAGCTTAAATATACGGTGCAATTAAATAAAATCAAAGGCAAGACCTGTTAAAGTTAACCACCAATACTTTGTGCTGGAAAAGGCAGGTAAATGGAGCTCCAGTTGTACAAATATATCAATGCCTACAAAATATATCAAATGTTACACTTATTTGTACATGGAGACATCTATTTACGAAAAAAATGAATCAAGCATCAGATGTTGTGTGCAGCCTGGAAAACAATTAAGTTTCAAAATTCTTCTCATTTAATCTATTTGTCGGAGAGATTTACTGCTCTAAAAAGACATGTTTTTCTTTCTTTTTTTTTTTTGGCAGTATCAACCAATCAACCTGAATCTTAGACAAATTGAAAGTTTTTATCTAATCGGTTTATATACATATATGAATAGACACATATTTTAAAATAATAAATAAATGTGCTGAGGTACTATTTTTAGAAAGTAAGTTATTGAATATGTTTTTGTTTTCTAAGCATTCAGGTTTTGCACCTTTAAATAACATGACTCTTTTTTCCTCCCTATCACTTTTTCCTTTCTTTCTTTCCTCCTTTGTTTCCCCTTCCTTCCTTTCTCCCTTCCTTCTTCCTTTCCTCCCTTCCCTTCTTTCCTTCTTTCCTCCCTTCCTCCCTTGCTTTTTCTTTTTTTTCTTAAAACAGTATTACCACTAGACATTATTATTCAAAAACACCAATATTTAGTCTAATAATCTTTACTGCCAAGGAAATAAGATTCAAGAATATAAAATAAGTTCTTAAATTTTAACACAAGAAGTGACAAAGTCAAGTGTAAATAATTATATTACAGTAACTGAAATATTTATTTATTTAGTTTGGGGGTAAGAAATTCATTTTTATCATGCTTTTTCAAAACTACATCTATAGAGAAAAAAAACTATTGCTTCAAAGTCACACCTCATTTCAACCCAAATATAATATTCCTCATGGCTTTACCCTGCTAATTATACCTCCCAAACCCTCTTATGTGTTTAAATGCAAAGTATTTATTAATGATCTATAGAGGCTATTTGTCTATTTGTTGTGGTATATTTTCATAACAAATAGTTTAAGATACAGTTTTCTGCAGCTTTATCAGTGGCCTTTTCTGGACCATACTGTCTCTCTCTCCGTGTGTGTGTGTGTGTGTGTGTGTGTGTATGCACACATATGTGCACCCTCCTTTGTGTGTGTGTGTGCGCATGTATATAGGCACAAAGGCATATATATGGAGGAATATATATGTATATATATGTGTGTATATATACATACATTCTATACCTTTTAACTTCATTTTCTTTGTAAATGCAGAGTTAAATAATTTCATTGTTTTTGTTTGTTTGTTTGTTTTGAGGTGGGGTTTTGCTCTTGTAGCCCAGGCTGAAGGGCCGTGGCACTATCTCGGCTCAATGCAAACTCTGCCTCCTGGATTCAAGTGATTCTCCTGCTTCAGCCTCCCAAGTAGCTGGGATTACAGGTGCCTGCCACTATGCCCAGCTAACTTTTGTATTTTTAGTGGAGCTGGGGTTTCACCATGTTGGCCAGGCTGGTCTCAAATTCCTGACATCAGGTGATCCATCTGCGTTGGCCTCCCGAAGTGCTTGCATTAAAGGCATGAGGCACTGCACCTGGCCCATTGTTTTGATTTTATTGGTATGAATGCAAACTTCAATTTTTCAAAACCATTTCAATCTTCTAAAAACTTTCACTGAAAGGTTAAATTTCAGTCCTTCATATCTTAATTCACCAAGTGCAATCAATATTCTTGTTCTGAAGTAATAGAGACGGTATCTGAAATGAGAAAAATTAAGAAAACAAGCTGCCTCATTATGAGGAACTTGGAATTCTAGAGGTGAGTGGATAAAATAAATAGTCATGTTTTGAATTGCATATAACCCCCCCACACACACACACACCATTGGTTTGAGATTTAGATGTTGGTTTTCTATAATTAAAATACAGAAAGTCTAGTCTTATTGTTGGATGAATAAAATACTCTCCCTGATTCCTGATTATCCTGCACAATTAGAGCTACTGCTTATGGAGAGACATTTGACAAAATGGGTAGACGAGAGTAGGTAGAGAATGTTTAGTCCTATTTTTTCAATAGTAGTCTCTGGTATTATCTTTAAATAGTACTCTCTGGTATTAATATGCATTGTTAATAGAATTAATACTATTATGCAACACCATAAAATGTATACAGATATTATTTTATAGCCCCATCATGTTTAGATGTTTATTTGCCACAACTATTTTGTTGCACCCTTGTTATCATAATTTTCATTACATAGTAAATTACTTAAAATTAGTTTATCTTTTAAAAACTAACTGGACCACATAATTTAAAGGACACAGAACATTCTATTATGATTTCTAAGTTAAAATAAAGATTTGAAAAAAAACTCAGATGTGATCTTGAAGTAAGGACAAATACATTGACTGGGACATTCTATGTAAATATTATGCAATTGATTTATGGCATGAGGTTGAGGGCGTGGAAGCAAACTTTAAATAGATGCAATCAAATAAAAGGACAACACTCAATTAATTCCTGCCTTCTACATTTTGCCACACAGTGCTTCAATTCCTTCACTAATATCTGCAGCTGGTTTGTTTCGGATCATAATGACCATCATGACTGTTGATTGTTTTTGGTGAAAAATTACTTTCTATTGATTTGTTTAAATATGACCTTTTATCTTTCTAACCAATATGAAAAACTAATCTTTATATTTTTGTAATTTGCAGTAGCCCTAAACAGAATCAAAGGACAAATATACTGCTCAGCTTATTTCAGATCTAATAACAATAACAAGAAGATTTTTAACACCTTAGGACAATTGTTTCTTTCTTTTCTTTTTTTTTTTTTTTTTTTGAGACAGAGTTTCACTCTTTGTTGCCCAGGCTGGAGTGCAATGGCGTGATCTCAGCTCACTGTAACCTCTGCCTCCCAGGTTCAAGTGATTCACTGCCTCAGCCTCCCGAGTAGCTGGGATTACAGGTGCCTGCCACCACGCCCAGCTAATTCTTTGTATTTTTTTGTAGAGACAGTGTTTCTCCACATTGGCCAGGCTGGTCTTGAACTCCTGACCTTAGGTGATCCACCCGCTTCAGCCTCCTAAAGTTCTGGGGTTACAGGCATGAGCCACCGGGCGCAGCCTGTTTCATTTTATAGGGTAGTTAGCAAACCAAACTCTTGATACTCTCAAGATTCAAATAAGGTAAAGAGAATAGTCTGTAGCTTGAGGTTGGTTACCTTTTTTGCATGCTGCAGAGTGTGAGCCACCAGTCAAGATCAGGATCTTTTAAAATAGGAATTTGGAAATTCTAAAAATTATGAGAAAATCATGCACTTTTATATGGCCTACAATGTAATCAGCTTCTTCATGGCAATGATAATTTAGAAATATCTTAAATATTTGTTTGTGGTAAAAATATAATTAATTCAAGAAAAAAATGCAGCTCTCTTAGCTATTCAGTTGTAAAAGGACCTAGAGTATAAAAAGAGACAGAATTAGTAATCACTAAGATTCATTTTTCTAGACTGAACTTAGCTATGCATGTATTTACCTGTTATACTCTGAAATCATTTGCTTATAATGAACACTTAAACTCATGCACTAAGACAAATGAAGAGTGTTTTGACAAACCTACAAAAATCTGAAATAAAATATTTTAAATGAATTTAAACATAGGAAGAAAGCTTATTGTATCTTAAAACTCCTACAGTATGCTTATTGCATATTTATAAAATGAGATTTATTTTTAGGGGGTGGAAATTTAAATAAATTAAGAGAGGGAAAGAAATAAAGCAACAAATTTTCAACGTATAAAACTCTATTTTTAGTAAATGCCATTGTTAAATGCAATTTTTGGAGATTTTTTTTTCTCCTACAAATGTTAAGGCCAAGTATGGTAAAAAGTGTAATATTATAATTATAATGCTGTAAAATATTTTAACATATGCATTATAATATAAGTATTCTTTAAAGTACTCTATGTGTTAGGCATCTTTGTTTTTATTTTTCTGGTGTTTCTTCTACAGATAATTTTTTTCCAAGTATCCCAAGCATAGTTTCGATGAGGCTCCTTTTTTTTTTTTTCTTAAAATAACTGTTCCCTTAGATTATCCATTCGGGCTGCTATAATAAAATCCCACAGAATGGGTGAATTATAAACTATAGAAATTTATTTCTCACAGATCTGAGAGCTGAGAAGTCCAAGATGAAGTCTCTGGCAGATTTGATGTCTGGTAAAGACTTTCTTTCTCATAGATGGCACCTTCTTGCTCCTAATCACCACCCCAGATGCCCTGCTTCTTATACTATAACGTTGAGGGTTAGAATTTCAACATCTGAATATTTTGTGGGGTACAAACATTCAGACCATAGCACCTGTCTATACACTCTCTGGGCTCCACCTCTGTCCTACCTTGAGTCATTAAGTGATTTGCAGTGTTGCTAAAGTTTTTAATTTAATTAATTTAATTCAAGATAGTGTGAGTAATTATAATTAAAAACAAAAATTTTCCAATCTGGAAAACTCCACAGTAATAGTGGAGAAAGATAGCATCTTTACCATTGGATAAGTACAGTCATGAACTGCATATATGCCAGCGGTGCTGTAGATTGTAACACTTTATTTTTACTGTACATTTTTTACTTTTAGATATGTTTAGATACACAAATACCGTTGTGTTACAGTGGTCTATAGTAGCATGCTGTACAAGTTTGCAGCCTATGAGCAATAGGCTATACCAGATAGTTTGGGTGTATGGTAGGCCATACCATCTAGGTTTGTGTAAGTACACTCTACGATGTTTGTACAATTACAGAATTGCCTAAGGACACATTCTCAAATGTGTCGCCATCGTTGAGCAAACACAGCTCTATTAAATGAGAGTATAACGAACATCACAGGCAATCCGCTAAAAGATTGTAAATCTCACTCTTGTACATAGCCAAGCAGATATAACCCATTACATATATGTTTTCAAGATAAAAAATAGTCTTTAAGTAAGAGCACTTGATAGTACTATTTATCACATGTAGTTTATCCTAACTTTACCTGGCAATTGTGGTGACCACCTGTGTTAGCTTATTGACTTTATCTGGAGGAAAAACAGGCTTATCAGGTTTTCATGGCAGAAGGTAATTTTACAACTTAAAGCTTGGTATCCACTGACATTAGGTTTCTACCCTCCCAAGAAACTGGGAGATATGGGTGCTATCTCTCTTGATGTTTACATGTCAGAGAGATGTTTCAGGTCTTTGAGAAAGACATTATTGGGTCATAAAGTTGACAAAAGGCCAATCTAGTCTTCGAAAGGATTTATATACATTTCAAAAAACAGAAAGTGTGTACTTATAAGTTTTAAAGTAAATGCCCAAAGAAAAAGGGAGAAAGGAAAATCTTTTCCCTTATTTTCAACAGAGAATTAAGCCCCTAGTTTTAAATTTGTATTTGGTCCTTACAATAGAATAGTAGAATCTATGTGTTTGACTTTTCTTAAAAACATTTTTATGATGATTTGCCAATGTTTCCTTTAAAAAGTTTGTCCTGAGGAGTCATGCTGTGCTTTCTTCAATTTTATTTTTAATTCTCTCACTTGCCTCTCTGTAGGTCAAATAGAAAATATATATATTTTAATAAGTTAAAAGTCAATTGATAAAAATGTAATTTCTGATTCAAAATTTATCCTTCTGCTTTATAATTTATTTTCATTTAATCAGTGGATGTTTGATTTTAGCATGGTGAGAAAGAAGCTAATTTAAAAACTCAAATTGAAATCTCAGCATTGCACAGTGTTTGATCAGAGTCACATTAATCACAGTTCATGTCAAATTTCTCAATGCTGTAAAGTATCATTCTGAATAATGACTTGCTCTCCAGGGTTCTTAGTTATTAAAATAGAAGTTGAGGAATGGGCTATAGCATTTCTATAATCATGGGTTTCACAGTATGCATTTTAGTAATAAAGATGAAGGAGTAAGATTTTTGATACTTTTTCAGAGTATTCTCATTCAATACACATGTATCTTGAAATTATATTTGATCAAAAGTTGTTTGACTTGGGAACTATCTTCTGTTCAGAGCTTGTTTTCTTCTAATTACAATTAGCAGTTACTGATGCTACAATATTCCTTTATGAAGCCAAGAACTGAACCAAAATACAAACAACATAAACTACCACTTGATGAGAAGAACTTCAAAGTCAAATTGCAAAAGGTGACTAAAAAAGGGGAGTACTTTCAGCCGTTTTCAAAATAATCTATGATATGTACTGGAAAACTTCTAATAATCCTTGTCATTTTACAAGTAAGTAGAGAGTAATAGAAAATTCACCCTTAATAGAAAAAATGTAATCATAGGATTAAATTTAAATCAATGACAAATTATAGTAATAAATGAACACTAGGTTGAATGTTTTGAAATCTTAGAGGTTTAAAATAGATAAATTCCTTTAAGTGAGCCAATTCTGTTTCCATTTATGAGTAGAAATTCAAAATAATGTTGATAATTTTTATATATACATTAAATATCTTTTATTCCTAGACCAAAATTCATTTATGACCTTCAGAGATCGTATAAGTGCTTTTGAGAAAAGAATTTAAATATTATGTGGTCATATGGAGAATGAAGTGCTTGTACTGTAAAAGGAAGCTATAACAATTTCCTGACTTCTGTGCTATCAAATAATATTATAAATGTATATTTATTTTTATATGCCATTTTTTGAGACAGCTTAAATAGAATACTAAGTAACAATTTATATTGTAAATCACAAATACTTTGCTATTAAGAAATAATGTATATAATACTTGAATGATTTAGTATCTTTTTTAATAATATAGGATTTTCTTAAAGCTTTGTCTCTGAATAAGACTCTTTCAAAGTATTTTTAATCATCATTATGCTGTGTAATCCTCTGCAGTACTGAAATGGAATCTCATTTCATTATAAGCATATTAGTTTCTTAGAATCACACACAAAAATCTAATTTATAACACAACTACTTAGAATTTCATGGTTGGGAAAAATATATAGGACTTGTCTATGGAGTTATTTAGATATCTAGCAAATAAAATAATTTTATAAAAAGTACTCACATTTTGAATAACAATTTGGACAATGGAAAATAAGTGAAAGAAAGCTAAAGTATTTTTAAAAATACCCTGTATACAGGTAGTTCATGCATAAAACAGAAATGTAATGGAATGATTTTGAATTTTTTGCATTAACTATTTATACCTGCATTTATCTCTTACAAATCTCTACCATAGTCAGTAAACTCTGAGTACTAGAGAAAGAGAAGAGCTAAAATTAGAATAGAGATAACAAGTTTATGCCGCAGTTCTGCTTTTCCTATGTATATTTTTAACTCATCAGGCTCATCATTGAATGACAATAATAGTGTATATTATTATCGCATTTTTGAGGAAACTACATACTGTGTTCCATAGTGAGTGTACCATCCTACATTCCTATCAATCGTGTATAAGGGTTCTAATTTCTCCACATCCTCACTGACACTTGTTATCTTTTTTTTTTTTATAATAGTCATCATAACAGATGAGAGGTGATAATTCATTGTGGTTTATATTTGCATTTTTCTGATGATTAGTGGTATTGAGTATCTTTTCATGTAACTGTTGGACATTTGTATGTTTTCTTTGGAGAAATGTCTATTTAAGCCCTTTGCTCATTTTTAAATTAGGTTTTCTTTTCTTTTTCTTTTTTTTTCTTTTGCTATTGAGTTGTAGGATATCCTTACACATTCTGCTCATATAGTTTGAATATTAACCAAACCATGAGATAGATGGTGTGCAAATAGTTTCTCCCATTTCATATGATGTCTTTTTCATTCTTGATCATTTTCTTTCCTGTACAGAAGCTTTTCAATATGAAGTAGTCCCATTTATTTTGAGGGGTTTTGTTGTCTGCGTTATCAGTGTCAAATTCAGGAAATAATTGCCCAGACAAATGTCAAGAAATTTTTCCCTTGTGTTTTCTTTGAGAAGTTTTTCAGTTTCAGATCTTACATTTGTCTTTAATACATTTTGAGTTGACTTTCATATATCGTGTAAGATAGGGGTCCAATTTCATCCTTTTGCATATGGAAATTCAGTTTCCCTAGCATTATTTGTTTAAGAGACTATAATTTTTCCCATGTATTCTTGGCACCCTTGTTGATCAACTGAAAATATTTACATCCATTTATTTCTAGGGTCTCTATTTTGCTACATTGGTTTATATTTTTGTCTTTATACCAATATCATACTATTTAAATTACTGTAGCTTTGTAATATATTTTAAAGTAAGTAAGTGCAATGCCTCCAGCTTTTTCTTCTTTCCCAAGACTACTTTGGTTATTTGGAGTTTTTTGTGGTTCCATATGAATTTAAAAATTGGTTTTTCCTATTTCTGTGAAAAATGACATTGAAATTTGATAGGATTATATTAAATCTGTAGATCACTTAAATAGTACAGATATTTTAATAATATTAATTCTTCCCAACAAACAACATGGGATGTTTTCCTTTTATTTGTGTTTAATTTCTTTCATCAGTGTTTAATAATGTTTTGTTTTTGTTTTTTATTTTTATGTTTTTTAGTCTTTAGGGTTTTCTATATACAAGAACATGTCATCTGCAAACAGAGACATTTTAAATTCTTCTTTTCCAATATGGGTGCCTTTTATTGCCTAATTGCTGTAGCTAAGATTTCTAGTACTGAGTTGAATGGAAGTAGTAAGACTGAGCATTTTCATGTTGTTGCTGATTTTATAAGTTCCCTGACTTCCTACAACAGAACAGCTTTTATTTTTTCACAATTGAGTATAATGTTAGCTGTGGATTTCTTATATGTGGACTTTATGATGTTGTGGTACATTTCTTGTATACCCAATTCGTCAAGCATTTTTATCATGAAAAGGTGTAAAATGTTGTTGAATGCTTTTTCTACATCTGTGGATGACTGTGTAGTTTTTATCCTTCATGTTGTTAAAATGATGTAGCACATTTATTGATTGTCTTTTGAACAATCCTTGCTCCTTGGGATAAATCACACTTGATTACGGTGTATAATCTCTTTAATGTATTTCCATGAATTTTGTAAATCAAACTACAATTAAGCTTTCATCTCTACCAGTACAACAAAACAGTCTTTGCCAACTCAGCAATGATCTTCACTTTGATATACCACGTTTCATTCTTAGTCTTTTATTACTTCTGTCAATAGAATTTGATACAGTTGCCCACTTCCTCATTCTTCAAACACTTTTGCACATTTTCCTTGGTTCATTTCCTATATCATTAGTTGCTGTTTTTCTGTCTTCTTTGCTGTTCTCTTCTAACTTGTTTACTTTACAGTACCCAAGGTTCAACCTATGAACCCCTTCTCTTTTCTAGTGTCACTCACTGTTTCTTATTGACATTGCTTTAAGTGTTGTCTTAAAGTTTTATGACTTTCTACTATACTTATCCAGCCCTGATATTATCCCTCATGTACAGACTGGTATATAAATTGTCGAGTTGACATTTTCAGTCAGGTATACAAAAGCACCCAAGAACTAGCATTCAAAAGTTACCTTTTTATTTTCATGTCTTATATTGCAATTTTTGCAACCATATCCATCTCAGAAAATGTAACTCAAATATTCTAATTGATAGAAATAAAAAATGTGGAATTACAGTGGGCTGGTCTCTTTCTTTCACATCACTTCTTAGTAAATATTGTAGGCCCACTTTAAAATGTATTCCAAATCAGAGTGATTTTCACTACCACTACAACCCTGGCCTAAGCTGCCATCATTCATATCTGTATTACTGCAATAACTTTCTCACCTATCTCATTCCTTCTGCCCTTGTCCTCCTGTAGTGTATTCTTCATAGAGCAGTCTATCTGATTTAAATCTCATCATATCACCCCTCTGTCCAAAAGTCGTTAGTAGCTTTCATCATACTCAGAGGAAATAAAGTGTCTAACAAGGCTGTATCAGTTCATTTCCTAGTGGCAACAGATGGCCTATTCAAACTAGATAACTGAATCTATTTACAGAGGTCTGATTAGTGTTTATGGAGACCAACACAGTAGAAAGTGGTCTTGGCCAGTCGCAGTGGCTCACGCCTGTAATCCCAGCACTTTGGGAGGCTGAGATGGGTGGATCGCGAGGTCAGGAGTTTAATACCAGCCTGGCTAAGATGGTGAAACCCCATCTCTACTAAAAATACAAAAAAATTAGCCGGGTGTGGTGGCAGGTGCCTGTAATCCCAGCTACTGGGGAGACCGAGGCAGAGAATTGCTTGAACCCTGGAGGCTGAGGTTGCAGTGAGCCAAGATCACACCACTGCACTCCAGCCTGGGTGACAGAGCGAGATGCTGTCACAAAAAAAAAAAAAAAAGAAAGAAAAAGGAAAAAAGAAAGTACAGTCTTCTGGGTTTTGTAGGTGGAATTTTTTTAGAGAAGTAGATTCTGAGACTGAGTTTGGCATACAGGATGTTTATTAAGGAGTGCTCTCAGATCCAGGACCAACAGCTGTGGAAAAGAAAAAAAAGGAAAAAACCAACATTGGATAGAGATAAGATTCCAGCACAATGTGAGCTCAAGACAACCACAGCTAACCATGTGGTAGTAGCTCAGTAGCTAAAATCAGAGTTGCTTGAGTTATGCTGCCCCAGAGGAGGTGGAGGTGGGTAACGCATTCTTTGTCGAAGGGCAATCTGAGTGAAGCATTGCAGTTTCCACCATAAAAGAAGGTCTAGGCCTGCCAGTTAATAAAAAGAAAGAATTACTTGTACCAAGAATGTGGAGATGTTTACTTTATAGTAGCTTAGTGTTTAGTAAAAGGATGCTATCATCCTAAGCCAAGCAATGGGATTAAGCCAGGACAAAAATATACTTATCTGCCTTTCCTTTAGCTTCTAGCCTCCAACAGGTACCCCCTCCCCACCCACCCATTGCTCAATCCAGATATCAAAACTGCCTGTTGAGGTAGTACATACAGGCTTGACTGCTGGTTTCTAAGACAAGATAGACAAGGGTCGTGAGTAAATACAATAAAAAATAGAAGAATGTTTGCTTCTGGATCAGCATTTTTTAAAGATTTATTTTACCTTTACTGCTGCTATACCATATTTCCTTCTAGAGTCCATCTGTTTCCAATTAGGAAAACAAAGTTTACATCAGATAGTTTCATAGAGAAAATACAGGGAACGAATTACAGATAGAAAAACTGAAAGTTCAAACTGGGGAAATTGAGGAAACGGTATTTGTAACTGTAGGAAGCTGCAACCTAAGACAGGAAGAATCAAATTACAAGGTGTTATTACTGGAGACCAGAAGTTGGTGCCACCTATTATAGGCTTGATCCATTGTAGGGATGCCAGATTGGAGCTGGACCATAGAGATGACACAATTATTTTAGAGAAGCTGTCTAAATGGGTAGTGATGCTCTCTGCATTTTCCCTTCTCCTCCTCTGTAATATTCCTGAGCAAAAGCTCACAGGAAGACAAAGGGGAGGGGAATCTAGAAAATGCAGAGGCAGAGAACTGACATAAGATAGAAAAAGAAAATTACCAGCCAATTCCTCTTCTCTCCTTTCTGACTTTACTTGCTTCTCTCAAAACAGCATCATGACTAAAGCTTATGTTCCAGATCAGTTGCACCAGGATTCTTGCTCTGCCACTTACTAGTGTGAGCCCTAATGACCTATTTTAGCTACCTTACTTGCCACTTATCTAGTAAATGGATATGGTAATAATACGACCTGCATACTAAAATGGCTATAGGAATTAAAAGAGAAAATGCACATAAAGTTCCTGAACAGTGTCAGGCATACAAACAATTTAATACATTCCAGCTGCTATTATTTTGTCCCTGTAAATGTTAAGATAAGTCTGAGAGAAGACCTAGTTTCTAAGGAGAAAAGATTGGGAAACAGCATTTGGATTCCAGGAAGGTTGCAGTTCTGATTATTTGTATAGTTTTTAGTAGTGTCTCAACTCTGATCTAGTATCACATCAGAATCATCTAGGGATCTTGTTAAAAATGAATATCTTGGGCAACATCAATTCCAAGTGTAATATAATGAATAGGGGCATAGAACATTTAACAAGTTTTTCAAGTAATACTATGCACAAAAACTTAAGAAACAGTGCCAAATGAACCCTGAGAAAACAACTCCCCCTTCCTTTTTATCTCCCATTTACTGAATGAGCTGCATATGGAGGTACTTGGATTTGTAAGTGATTGCATGGGCATCTCTTCCGGGATCCAGGTAACAGGTTTCACTATCAAGTCATCACAAATTTGGAACTGGTTTATGTTTGAACTTTGGTGCTTCTTGTAAATTTTTCTCTCCCCTTTGGCTATTTTCACTCTTACTGGAGACAACAAAAACAGCAATACCGTATTTGTGCTTTTCTTAATATCCAAGGGAGTGATAAAGTTGGTCAAGCTGACCTCACAATATTTTGATAGGTTTTGTTGCTGTTGTTTTTAAAAGAACACTGTTTTTAGAGAACAAGCATCTAACCTATTTTACATGAAAACTCAAATATCACGGATTCACCAAAATCTTTAAAAAATACTCAAATCAAATGTGTCTGCTGAATTGTTGTGATTCTTTACTTCTTTGCAGGTACACAGCTTTTTCTTGTTTTAAAAAAATTTTATGTATCAAGTTTTTCTCACATGACACATAATCACAGAATTTCCACTCATTAAGCCTCATACTTTATACTGTTAAAAATTAGTTTTTATAATTAAAACCCAGAAAAATTATACTGAAGAATGGAATACTTTTAAAAGTGTAAAATAGTATCTGTAATCTGAGGATGTGGTGTTTTCTTCTCAATCATATAATCCAGTGTTTTCTGTTCAATCCTAGATTTATAAAATAAGTATAGTGTTATTTATGTTGCTGCTTTAGTGCAGCAGGAATAAAGACCATTTCACGATGGGAAAAACTGAACATATTAGTGGAATGATTGACTCATGGGGTATCAGACATATCAAGTAAGCTAAAAGCAAGATTAGTAAACAATGATTTCATTTCATGTTTTATTCAAGTTAAATCAAATTTATCATAATTGAAATAGTTTTACTGATTTCAGTCATTGAAATGACTCCCTGATCACAGTCAAATTAAAAATATTCTATACAGTATGCACATTTATGAAACTCCCAAAGGATCCAACTTACACTTAATTTCTAGACTTCGCTCCACTGATTATAACTTGTATATTTCCTTCATCTTCATGTGAAATAAGTTAGGAGTGGAATTATTTAGAGTTTATCACAATTTTTAGGCATACTTAGAACTTGTCTTAATCTATTGCATTTGTTTTTTTGTATCTGACATCCCACATAACATTGATGGCTCTCAGAATTTTTTTTTTTTAAGTATTTTCCATCTGGTGTACTTAGGCTTTGACACAGACCCATAGAAATTTCCTGGTGAATAACAATATATATGACTTTAGTTGCTCCAAAGATCATGATTATTATTCCAGTTTCTCCTTCTTGTGGAATAACAAGGAAAATTCAGCAAAATTATTACTTCTAAATGTGTTCCATAAACCATTGTTAAATCACCATGTCTCAACAGCCTGTCTTCTTTCAAAGTTTACACACCATTTATTTAAAACACACCCGAAACACTCTCATCTACTACTGTCCAGGATAGTTGCTGACCTGCTAAAAAAAACTTTAGCACAACATTCATGTCTCCATCCCAGTCTCTGTCTTTTCTTTGTTTACATCAACAGAAGAATTGATCATTTTAAAGTATGTTTGATATACATTGACTTCTTCCCCACTTATGAGTATTTCATCTATTTCTTTTCAACTATCCTTAGATTGAAATAACACAAAATATTTTTAGATAGAACCAGTCTACTTCTAATATTTAAAATAACGTATGCTATAATTTCATTTCTTCTACACTAAGCACACCATAGGCTCTTCTAAAAAAAAACCCACTGGTTGCTAATATTCCACAAAATTAAGTGAAAATTTTCTGACTGATATGGAGACTTATCTACAAACTGACCTAAATTTATCTTTCTAATCTGTGTCCCAATAATATAAATAATCTAGGAATTTATTTATAATTCCCAGACTGTAGTGGCCATTTTATAGCCAATGCTTGCATATTGTTTTTGGCTGACATGTTCTCCTCTACCAAAAAAGGACTTACTCTTGTCTATGTTCTAATATTCTTTAAGAAAATATTTAAATATGAGGATCCTATAGAGGATGTCTTAACAGCAAAATAAGTACTATTTACATTATTGTTGGAAGTAGTAATCGTATTTATAGGTAAGAAAAAGAACATGAACAAATTTTCTGTTATTTAAGGCTGTTAAGAATGTTTACTATCTCTGGAACATAATAGATATTCTCCTCAAATATGTAAATTCAGATAACAATAAATGACATGAAGCAAATGATAACTAAAAATAAATATTTTTCTTTCCATTGCAATAGCTTTCCCACAGTTAGATCATCAGCAAATGTCACTTGGATCCCTAGCTAAATTGTTCTTCCCAGAAAATAGTTATCTCCACTATGGTAAGAGTTGTCGTTATAAAATTTAAAAACAATTATAGCATACCTTTAATAATTAAACATTTAACATTTGAGTGATTTCACATTACTGAAATATGGATTCCAGTTTATGAATGTGGCTTCCAAGGCTTTGAGGATATTTTATACTATTTAACTCTTTTCCACTCTTCTTTTTAATATCCACCCTTGAATTCTATCTCCATTTTCACCAGACATCTTGTAGTTATTCTAATATCTTATGTTCTTTCACTCCTGGCCTTGGCACAGTTTATTTTCTTAATCTAGAAGATAATTTTCTATTCCCCCACAATATTTTTTGTTTAACTCATAATTTTTTAATTTTATTTCAAATGCTAGTCTAGATATCACTTCATTTATGAATCCATTCCTTACTTTAGAAGCCATTCTAAGTACTACAGTAACACTGCACTTCCAGTGTTATAAATATCATACTCTTTAATATTTGCTTATCTTCTTCCTCTGGTATAGTATTTGTTCACTCAGCCCGGGTAGCATACATCGAGTGTGCTTTGCTGATTCCTTATCACCCAAGATAATTTTAGGAACATTGTAATCCTCCAGTCAACCTTTGCTATATAAATGGATGTGGATTAGTGGATAAAGGTTTAAAATTCATGAAATTTTGGATTGTAGATTAAGCTTGAAAATTTGGGGAAGGGACTTCCCTTCTCCATATACACATTGTATTACTCCTTTGTGTTGTTGTAAATACATATTTAAGGCTTAGTAATTTACAAAGAAAAGAGATTTATTCAGCTCACAGTTGTTCTGCAGGCTGTACAAGAAGCATGGTGCTGGTGTGTACATTGGGTGAGTGCCTCAAGCTGTTTCCACTCATGAAGAAATGGGAAGGGGAATCCATGCATGCAGAGATCACATGGTGAGAGAGGAAGTAAGAGAGAGAGAGGAAGTGCCAGGCTCTTTTGAACAACCAGCTCTCTTGGGAGCTAGTAGAGTGAGAACTCATTCATTACTGTGAGGACAGCACCAACACATTCATGAGGTCTCCACCTTGTAATCCAAACACTTCCCTCTAGGCCCTACCGCTAACATTGAAGATTAAATTTCAGTGTGAAATTTGGAGGGACAAACATCCAAACTATAGCACACAAACATAACTGAAAACATGTTTAATTAAATATATGGGACTTAAGTCAAGTGCCTATGGCGGAAAGAACTGTCAAATGGTTTGGAGTGTTAGGCTGTCAATAGTGATGCATATATCCCTAATAAAATCAAGAAAGAAGCCAAAATTTCACTAAGCCACAGCCCTTTTACAGAGAAGTTTGTATTAACCATTGGAAATAATCTGCTCTAAAAATCTAGATACTTTCATGTACAGGAATGCTGCAAGGGTAATTCCTTGTCCAGGAATGAAAAAGCAGAGAATACCTGGTGTTCCTGAACAAAGTAACTCTTCTTTACTCCAAGGAACCATGGCCCAATAAAGCTTACTAGAAAAGTAGGTTAAAAGAAAATAATGAAATAAAATAAAATAAAATATTAGAGAGTGTATTTGATAAGTACTAGAAAAATCTAAAGATGGCAAATTTCATTAAGCATTCCAAGCATCTATGTCAAGGCATAGCTGAGAGGATCTCTGCTCTCAGAACTTTCTCTAAACTAATAGGCATAACTGTGTGTATGTGTTTTTCAGTTTTCTTATCATCCTGCTCAGACATCTTCATTCAAGCTTACCATGCATGAACAAGATTTGTTTATCAAACAACTTCCTTAATATATCTAAGATCTGGAGGACTAGTAACCCATATATGATGTGTTGATACCCTCAACAGAATGCCTAGCTTGGTGTTTATTGTTGTAAAATTAATTGAATTTTTATTCTTCTTTCTCAATATGTTTCTTTTTTTATTTATCTCAACTGGTTGCCTAAGTTTCTATTTTTTACTCTAACCTTCACCATCACAGTTCATTTATTTTCTGCCTAAAATATCAAATATCAATCACTGATGGTTTTTCAGCTGCATGTAAAGATACTTTCATCTGGTGGTGGCAACTGTGACAGGGGGCGGAGCCGCCTGGATCACACTTTGTCTGTGGAGGCAGTATTCTAAAATGTCAATTTATGAAAATCAGCAATCCTAAGAGGACTCATAGACCCTCTGAAGGAGGGAGACTGCTCCTGCAGGACCCAGGAGACACCACAAATACTGTGAGTGCCCCAACGGTGGAAGTGGGTAAGGGAGAGCCTCCTCTCCCGAACACACACACCCACTGGAGAAACTGAAGAAGTCACAGCAATACCTGCCCAAGGAGAGTCTGAGCTCAGACACACTGAGCCCTGTCCCCTCCTGATGATCCTTCCCTACCCACCCTGGTAGTGGAAGACAAAGGGCATATAATCTTGAGAGTTCTAGGGCCCCACCCAACACTGGTTCCTCTCCATACTACCACAGCTGATGCTTTCTGGAAAGTGCCAACTCCCAGCAAGATGCCAACCAGCACAAAAATGGAGCTTTAAACCGCCAAAGCTAAGAACGCTCATGGAGTCTATTAACCCCCCCTCTCCCCACCACTTCCACTTGAACAGGTGCTGGTATCCACAGCTGAGAGACCCATAGAAGGCTCACATCACAGGACTCTGCAGACAACCCCCAGTACCAGCCTGGAGGCAGGTAGACCTTCTTGGTGGCTAGACACAGAAGAGAGATAACAATCACTGCAGCTTGGCTCACAGGAAGCCACACCATAGGAAAAGGGGGTACATCAAAGGAAGACCCTGTGGGACAAAAGAATCTAAACAACAGCCTTCAGCCCTAGACCTTCCCTCTGACAGAGCCTACCCAAATGAGAAGGAACCAGAAAACCAACTCTGGTAATATGACAAAACAAGGCTCATTAACACCCCCAATATCACACTAGCTCACCAGCAATGTATCCAAACCAAGAAGAGATCTCTGATTTATCTGAAAACAGTTCAGGAGGTTAGTTACTAAGCTAATCAGGGAGGCACCAGAGAAAGGCAAAGCCCAATGCAAGGAAATCAAAAAAATAATACAGAAGTGAAGGGAGAAATATTCAAGGAAATAGATGATAGCTTAAAGAAAAAAAAATTCAGGAAACATTGGACACACTTATAGAAATGCAAAATGCTTTGGAAAGTTCTCAGTAATAGAATTGAATAAGTAGAAGAAAGAAATTCAGAGCTCAAAGACAAGATCTTTGAATTAACCCAATCCAACAAAGACAAAGAAAAAAAGAATAAGAAAATATGAACAAAGACTCCAAGAAGTCTGGGATTATGTTAAATGATCAAACCTAAGAATAATTGGTGTTCCTGAGGAAGAAGAGAATTCTAAAAGCTTGGAAAACATATTTGGGGGAATAATCCAGGAAAACTTCCCTGGTCTTGTTGAAGACTTAGAAATCCAAATATAATAAGCACAAAAAACACCCGGGAAAATCATCACAAAAAGATCATTGCCTAGGCACATTGTGATCAGGTTATCCAAAGTTAAGATGAAGGAAAGAATCTTAAGAGCTGTGAGGCAAAAGCACCAGGTAACCTATAAAGGAAAACCTATGAGATTAACAGCAGATTTCTCAGCAGAAACCCTACAAGCTAGAAAGGATTGGATGCCTATCTTCAGCCTCCTCAACCAAAACAATTATCAGCCAAGAATTTTGTATCCAGCAAACTAAGCATCATATATTGAGGAAAGATAGTCTTATTCAGACAAACAAATGCTGAGAGAATTTGCCATTACCTAGCCACCACTACGGGAACTACTAAAAGGAGCTCTAAATCTTGAAACAAATCCTGGAAACACATCAAAACAGAATCTCTTTAATGTGTAAATCACACAGAACCTATAAAATGAAAATACAAGTTAAGCAAAAACAAAAAACAAAAACAAAGTAGCAGGCAACAAATAACACAATGAATTAAACGGTACCTCACATCTCAATACTAACATTGAATGTAAATGGCCTAAATACTCCACTTAACTGCAGAATGGCTAAGAATTCACCAATCGACAATCCATTGCCTTCGGGAGACTGACCTAACACATAAGGACTCACATAAACTTAAAGTAAAGGGATGGATTTCATGCAAATGTATGTCAAAAGCAAGCAGGGGTAGCTATTATATCAGACAAAACAGACTTTAAAGCAACGGCAGTTAAAAAAGACAAAAAGGGACATTATATAACGGTAAAAGGCATTGTCCAACAGGAAAATATCACAATCCTAAACGTATATGCACATAACACTGGAACTCCCAAATTTATAAAACAATTACTAATAGATCTACAAAATTAGATAAACAGCAACACAATAATAGTGGAGGACTTCAATACTCCACTGACAGCACTAACAGGTAATCAAAACAGAAAGTCATCACAGAAACAATGGATTTAAACTATACTTTGCAACAAATGGACTTAACAGATATATACAGAACATTTCATCCAACAACCACAGAATACACATTGTATTCAACAGTGCCTGGAACTTTCTCCAAGATAGACCACATGATAGGGCATAAAATGATCCTCAATAAATTTAAGAAAATTGAAATTATATCAAACACTCTCTCAGACAACAGTGGAATAAAAGTGGAAATCAACTCCAAAAGGAAACTTCAAAACCATGCAAATACATGGAAATTACATAACCTGCTCCTGAATGAGTATCGGGTCAAAAACAAAACCAAGATGGAAATTAAAAAATTCTTCAAACTGATTGACAGTAATGACACAACCTATCAACCTATTAAAACCTCTGGGATACAGCAAAGGCATCTTTCTATGAGGAAAGTTCATAGCCCCAAACACTTAATCAAAAAGTCTGAAATAGCACAAACTGACATTCTAAGGTCGTATCTTAAGGATATAGAGAAATAAGAACAAACCAAACCCAAACCCACCCAGCAGAAGAAAGGAAATAACCAAGATCAGAGCAGAACTAAGTGAAATAAAATTGAACCAAAAAATAAATACAAAAGATAAATGAAACAAAAAGCTGGTTCTTTGAGAAGATAAATAAAATGGATAGACCATTAGCAATATTAACTTGTAGCAATCTCACTTGTAGACACACAAAAGACTTGAAATTCATTTGCTGAAGACATATTTGCATGCCCATGTTGATTGCAGCATTATTTACAGTAGCCAAGTTATGAAATCAACCTCAGTGCATCAATTAATCAAATACCACTTAAAAAGTGGTATATATACATAATATAATACTATTCAGCCTTAAAAAGAAAGAAACTCATTTACAACAATATGAATGGAATTGGAGAGCATTATGCTATGTGAAATAAACCAAACAGTGAAAAATAGATGCATGTTCTCACTTACATGTGGAATATAAAACAGTTGAACTCACAGAAGCGAAGAGTTAAATGGTGGTTACCAGAGGCTGGGTTAGGGGGAATGGGGAGATGGTAATCAAAGGGTACAAAGTCTCAGTTATTAGAAGGAATAAGTTTGAGGGTTTTTTCGCAGTCTATCTCACACCATGGTGAATATGGCTGATAATAATAATTTTTTTTTGAGACTGAGTTTCACTCTTGTTGCCCAGGCTGGAGTGCAATGGCATGATCTCGGCTCACTGCAACCTTCACGTCCTGGGTTCAAGCAATTCTCCTGCCTCACCCTCCCAAGTAGCTGGGATTACAGGTGCTCACCATCACGCCTGGCTAATTTTGTATTTTTTTAGTAGAGAGGGAGTTTCACCATGTTGGTCAGGCTGGTCTTGAACTCCTGCTCTCAAGTGATCCACCTGCCTCGGCCTCCCAAAGTGTTGGGATTACAGACATGAGCCCCCACGTCCGGCCCTATAGCTAATAATTGAATACTGTACATTTCAATACTGCTAAAAGAGGAAATCAAACATTCTCATCAGAAAAAAATTAAACATTTGAGAGCATGGATAGGTTATTCAGCTTGATTTACTGATTCCATAAAAATAATAAATATATCATAGCATCACTTTGTACCATACAAATGTATACAACTATAATTTGTCAATATTTAATAAACAAAGGTAAACTTAAGGGTTCTGATGGTCAAGACTCTTTCTCTGACATCACTGAATTTAAACAGCAGTCTTCTCTGTTCAGCATAAGGTTTATGATCTTCATGAAGACAAGGTTTGTGTGGAAATAAATACAGACAGGAGTTGTTGCTGTTCCACTTTGGCACAGAAGTTGGATCATGAAGGTGATAAGTGGTGAGATTTAAATGCTAGATGATGAGAAGTCCAGTAGGGACAAAGGAGCTTTGAAATAAAAAAAATGATTGGTATGATATTTATTTCACTTATTTTCTAATTAAGTATAATACAGTATGGCCCAAACCTGAATAATGCAAATAAACAGTCATTTGTTATTAACAAGTTATAATTATTTTACATAAATTTAAACAAATACTGTTACTTTGGAAATATGCCCTGTTTGGTGACAGAAAATTCAATTTTATTGCTGTTTCTATTTAACCACCTGTCTTGTTTTACATTTTAAAAATTATTCAAATTAGAAACCATAAGGTATTACTTGCTAAATAAGATCCATCTGGAGGCTATAAGTATCCTCAATCTTAAGGTGTGCTATGGTTTTGGTATGGTTTGTTTGTCCCCAACAAAACTCACGTTGAATTTTGATTCCCAATAATGTGGTTTGGGGAGGTACTGCCTGGGCCTAGTGGGAAGTGTTTGATCTATGGGGTGGATCCATCATGAAGGGCTTGGTGCTGTTCCTGCAGAGGTAAGTTCTTGCTCTCACAAGATAGTTTACTTCTCTTCAGACTGGATTAGTTCTCTTGAGAGGGACTTGTTTAACCCAGGACACCCCACAGGTTTCTTTCTCTTTGCATGTGTCTGCTTCCCCTTTCACCTTCTTTGCTAAGTTGCAATGCAGCACTAATGTCCTAGTCGGAAGCCAGAGCCATGTCCTTGAACCTCTCAGCCTGCAGAAACAAGAGCTAAATAAACCTCTTTACCCAGTCTCAGGTATTATTTCATAGCAACATCAAGTGGACTAAGCAAACTAACACATGAATAGAAAACCAAATACCACATGTTCTCACTTGTAAGTGGGAGTTAAATGATGAGAACACATGAACACACAGAGAGGAACAACACACACTGGGGCCTATCAGAGGGTGAAGAGTAAGAGGAGGAAGGGGATCATGAAAATTAACTGATGGATACTAGGCTTAATGCCTGGGCGATGCAATAATCTGTACGACAAACCCCCATGACACACATTTAGTTGTAACTAACCAGCACATCCTGGACATGCACCGCTGAGCTTAAAATAAAAGGTAAGAAAAAGAATAATGAATGCACACTAAAAAATTGGACTAAGACAAAGTGTCATCAAAGAATATTTTGATGCTGCTACCATATCTGCCTAAAGCATATACTGTATATTATAAATGTCGTCTTTCTAGTTTTACTCTATTTCGTTCCTTTTCATCACCTTACCTTCAAGTTTCTATGGGAAATCTATAGGGGAAAAGAGTCGTGAAAAATTTCCTAGGATCACCTTGAAACAATATTTTTACTGTGAGGTTTAATTCTGGGAGAGTTTTACCTCATCACAGATATGGGTATCTCCCCCTTTAACAGGAACATTACGGCATTTTTTAATATAAGATTTGAAATTGGGTTTTGCTTATGTATGCAACTGCTTGTCATTTGGTCTAGCTTCTATATGAAACTATTTGCATAGAACTATTTCTGTGTTTTAACATGTATCTCATTTGTGATACATACATATATGTATGATATGGTTTGGCTCTGTGTCCCCACCCTAATCTCATGTTGAATTATCATCCTCAGTGTTGGAGGAGGGACCTGATTGGAGGTGATTGGATCATGGGGGCAGATTTCCCCCTTGCTGTTCTTTTGATAGTGAGTGAGTTCTCACAAGATCTATTTGTATAAAAGTATGTAGCACTTCTGCCTTCATTCCCTCTTCCACCTGCTCCACCATGTGAAGAAGGTGCTTGCTTCCCCTGCACTTTCTACCATGAATGTAAGTTTTCTGAGGCCTCCCCAGCCATGTTTCCTGTACAGCCTGCAGAACTGTGAGTAAATTAAACCTCTTTTCTTCATAAATTACTCAGTCTTAGGTAGTTCTTTATAGCAATGTGAAAATGGACTAATACAATGTATGTATAAATATACATATATATGTATATACACATATATACATACATACGTGCTATATACATATATATGTATATACACATATATACATACATATGTGTTATATACATAGAGTAAAAACTCTCCCAGAATTAAACCTCACAGTAAAATTATAGTTTCAAGGTAATCCTATATATATGTACATGTGCCCATGTATATGTGTGTATGTGTATACATATAATTAGCCATGTTGATCTGAGTAATTTTGATAATTTGCTTTCATTCAATTCTCTGTTAAGAATTTGAAAAATTTTAGTTAAATGCAGAAAAAACAATTGAGGAAAACCTTAGGAATGAATTTTCCTTGGGACAATGTAGTGTTGGTATGGCAGTAATGGGAAGAAGCAACTTGTTTTAGGAAAAAAAACTAATTCTCTTCTAACATTCCTTATCTAATGTGCAAATATCCATATCTAAAAAGTAAAATGTTACTAGAAATCAAAACAAAATAACATTACACTATATCCATGACATGAGTCATCTTTTTTAAAAACAATTATTGCTTTCACTTTTTACTTCTTCACTTAAAATTCAAAGAGAAAAAGCAGCTGTCATCTGTAGGAGGAAGACATATACATTCATATTTGATAAGTTTAAGTTCCCATGAAAAAGCAACAAATAAAATAAAACAAAAGCAGATCTAAAAAAGACCTAATTTAATTCAGTACCTTAGAGAAATTTAAAAATATTTACAGTGAGTTAAAACAGGTAGATCATTTATTTTTCCACATTTCACTTGTAGCTTTTTT
The DNA here is from genome assembly GCF_000001405.40 of Homo sapiens. NCBI lineage: Eukaryota > Metazoa > Chordata > Mammalia > Primates > Hominidae > Homo > Homo sapiens. The sequence continues at coordinate 88,193 of NW_019805491.1, forward strand.
CATTTCTTGACATTTAAAAGTACAGTTACATTTTTATCTTATTATCTTATTTTGTTTCATGAAACAGGAAAGTATTTTATCAGAAGAATTCGTAGAAGTAGAATCTGTTTGTCTTCAGTTAAACAAAAGAAGAACCTCATTGCTTTCCAACTGGGCCCCGGCCATTTTCCAGTTGAAACATCAAATATTTTATTTGTGTCTTTCACTGCCAATTAAAGGGCAACAGAAATGGTACAGGTAAATCATCTTCTCTTTGGAGGTCTTTCCAAAGAAGACTTTAATTCAAGCATTTCCTAGAGTATGTACCATAAAGTCTTATCTGCAGATTTAGACTTGAATATGCATTACATCATTGGAAAATATTATGTCACTGAAATTGGAAAAGGTTGAGTTAAACAAAACTAAACTATTAACTGTATTACAAGATCTCTGAGATTTTGGTTTGGTAGCTTCCAGGGGCGTCTTACGTAGTGATGCTGTTTAGGGGCATCTAGAGATCAGGAACAACACTTGTTCTGCTGATACAGATTTGGGAATGAAATCTGAAAAGGCATGAAATAGACTGGTAGAAGGGAAAAAATGTTAAGAAAAGAGCATTCATATTTTATTCTAGGTAACAGCTTGATAAGTTGATACAGAGGGAGGAGAATAATAAAAAGAACACAAGCAAATATTTAGAGAAGTATCAGTGAATTATAAGGTTTTTATGTGATTTTTCTAGGGTCTTTGTTGATTTGTCAAAGAAAATCAAGAAAAATAGCATACACTTTCTTCTTTAAACCCCTTTTGTGTATATGCTTTTGTGTCTGTGTGTATAAAATATGTTTATAAATACATTAAACTATTTTTACTAATTAATTCACACAGGTCATTTTCTATTATAGTCAGGATCAGTTATACTGTGGTAGTTAGTAGTAAATAATTTATTTATAAAATGTTAAAAAGGTTCCCAAGGACTTGCACTTTGTTCATTAATTTTTTTAATTATAGTTTTGAAATATTGCACACATTTGTAAAATGCAAACAATAGTAGAATGGGTCCACATTACTTAACATCAACTTTTCAACAATTATTCTCATATCATTTGATCTATAATATTTTAGATCATATGTTTATAACGATTTTAGTTTTTTAAAAAATTAGCTGCCATGCCATTATTGCTAATTTTTAAAAATACATTTCTTAAAAGCAATTAAATACTAATTAGATAACTGGAATATCTGAAATCTTAAGTCAAATAATATGTATTTTTGACATGTATTTGAAGTATTGCGAATGGTAACAGAAACCAAGCTCTGTGAATTAGGTTTGTTACTGGTGTACCATTCTTTCTAGACCCTCTCAAGCTGACATAGTTAAGAAATACAAGCACATATATTAAACTTTGTGTACACATATCAATAACTATTCCTATATATAAATGTCTGCATCTGTATTAAGCTAAACATGAGTTCATACAGATGTCTCTAACTCTAATCTGTTAACATATGGTTCATTGTAGCCTCCTCTCCTTACTTATCTGTAAACTCCCAGTCTGACAATAAGAACCTGGCTTGTAACGTCTGTCATCCACTTGCTGAATTGTTTAATTTTACTATTCATGTATGTCAGTTTCAGAATTGTTAATTCATACCCACAAGACAATCACCTTAACTAGAGCATCGTACTTAGGTATAGTTTCTTTTAGTTTTATGGATGTTTTAGAAATTCAAATTTCTAAAGTTTCTTAGGTCAGCACCTCTCTCCCAACTCATCACTATTAGTGAGGTTGTTTTATGCATTTTTAATATAGTTAGATTGCATTGTTACATTCTGCATTGCATTGATGGATTCCCCAGACTCTCAAATTATTTTTATTAAAATTTTCATACAATACAGTTTACGATTTGTATAATGTTAATGGCTTTTGACAAACACTGAATGTCATACATCCAACATTACAGTGTCATAGAGCACAATTTTCAATCCTAAAAATTCCCATTCTCTACCTATTCAATATTTACTCTCCTACAACCAAACCCTTGATAACCACTGATTTTTTAAATTATATCTATAGTTTTACCTTTACAAAAATATAATATAATTGGAATAATACATTATGCATCTTTTTTTTAGGCTGGCCTTTTTTCACTTAGCTGTAGGCATTAAACATTCAACCATATATTTTCATGCCTTGATAACTGATCTCTGTTTATCCTTGAATAATATTATTTTCATTGTAGGTACCACAGTTTGTTTATCCATTCATCTGTGGAAGGACATCTTGGTTACTTGTAGTTTATGGTGATTAAAAGTAATGATACTATAAACATTTGTGGACAGGTTTTTGTGTGGACATAGGTTTTCAATTCAATTGCATAAATACTTAGTTGGATTGTATGGTAAGACTATGTTTACCTTTGTAATAACTTCCAAACTGTTTTCAAAAGTGGTTTACCACTTTGAATTTCCACTGTCAATGAAGGGTACTTCTTCCTGCACTGTGCAATCACCATCCACTGATATCCTTACTTTCTATTTCTATTTTTATACTTTAACCATTCTAATAGATGTGTAATGGCATCTCATTGTTTTATTTGGAATTGCTTAATAATGAATAATTAATCATTTTCTTATGTTTATTTGCATTTGCATATCTTATTTGGTAAAATATCTGTTCAGATTTTTAAATTGAATTGTTTTCTTATTGTTGATATTTGAAACTGTTGACCTTTAAACATTCTTTCTATATTTTGAATATAAGTATTTTATAAGAAATTTGTTTTGCAAGTACTTTCTCTTATACTATCAGTTGTTATTTCATTTTGTAACAGTGTATTTCTCACAGCAGAAAATTTTTATTTTATAATGCCTAATATTTCAAATTTGTTAATGAATTGTGCTTTTGGAGTTGTATCTAAAAACTTATCACTAAAATCCAGGCCACCTAAATATTCTGTTGTTTCCTTCTAAAAATTTTAATTTTGTGCTTTATATTAAGGCCTGTAAGTCATTTGAATTAATTTTGTGAAAAAATATATAATATATATTTAAGTTATTTTTTGAGGGATGGGGGGTATTGATGTTCAATCGTTTTAGCATCACTTGATGAAAAGATTATCCTTTCTCTCTTGAGTTGCCTTTCAGCCATTGCCAAAGACAAGTTGACTATTTTTGTGTAAATCTATTTGGGGCTGTATATTCTGTTCTTTTGATTTATGTGTAGATTCTTTCATAAATATTATGCCGCCATGATTGTTGTAGCTTTATAGTAAGTCTTCAGATTTGGACAGTATGGACCTTCCAACTCTTCTTCTTCAGTATCGTGTTGGCTTTTCTAAGTATCTTAGAGAAAAAGCTCAAGTGATGAACTGAAGATAACACCAGGGCTTTATATAGATTAGCAAAGAATGCAACATGACCTAAAGATTGATCCACACAAATTCTCTACACTTTCAAACATGGCTCTGAGAATACTTAAGTTGCCATATGGTACTTGGGTAGGTAGAAAAGACATAATTATAACTAATTTGAGTATGACTTTACCCTCATTGTCTCATTGCAATTTAGAAAAGAATTCTCGATATTTTTGATGACTAACTGTGGTTTTGGGAAATTGCTTTTCCAAAGAAGTAAGTTAACAAAACAATATGGAAATCTTGACACCAGAAGTTTAAATATTAAAGAGAGTAAAACTCTTATACAATAACTCATTATAATAACAAAAGAATATTCCCTAAACAAGTGCAAAAAAATCTAGTAAATATGCTTTAATTGGAGTTTTCACTAGGGTAGGGTAACATCAAATGTATATATATATTTTAATTTATTTTTTGTTATTATACCTTAAGTTCTAGGGTACATGTACACAACGTGCAGGTTTGTTACACATGTATACATGTGCCACGGTGGTGTACTGCACCCATTAACTCGTCATTTACATTAGGTATATCTCCAAATGCTATCCCTTCCCCTTTCCCCCACTCCACAGAAGTGTGATATTCCTCACCCTGTGTCCAAGTGTTCTCATTGTTCAATTCCCACCTATGAGTGAGAACATGCGGTGTTTCGTTTTCTGTCCTTGGTGATAGTTTGCTCAGAACGGTGGTATCTAGCTTCATCCATGTCCCTACAAAGGACATGAACTCATCCTTTTTTATGGCTGCATAGTATTCCATGGTATATATGTGCCACATTTTCTTAACCCATTCTATTATTGATGGACATTTGGGTTGGTTCCAAGTCATTACTATTGTGAATAGTGCTGCAGTAAACATACATGTGCATGTGCCCTTATAGCAGCATGATTTATAATCCTTTGGGTATATACCCAGTAATGGGATGGCTGAGTCAAATGGTATTTCTAGTTCTAGATCCTCGAGGAAACGCCACACTGTCTTCCACAATGGTTGAACTAGTTTACAGTTCTACCAACAGTGTAAAAGCGTTCCTATTTCTCCACATCCTCTCCAGCACTTGTTGTTTCCTGACTTTTTAATGATCGCCATTCTAACTGGTGTGAGATGGTATCTCACTGTGGTTTTGATTTGCATTTCTCTGATGGCCAGTGATGATGACCATTTTTTCATGTGTCTGTTGGCTGCATAAATGTCTTCTTTTGAGAAGTGTCTGTTCATATCCATTGCCCACTTTTTGATGGGGTTGTTTGATTTTTTTCTTGTAAATTTGTTTAAGTTATTTGTAGATTCTGGGTATTAGCCCTTTGTCAGATGGGTAGATTGTAAAAATTTTCTCCCATTCTGTAGGTTGCCTATTCACTCTGATGGTAGTTTCTTTTGCTGTGCAGAAGCTCTTTAGTTTAATTAGATCCCATTTGTCAATTTTGGCTTTTGTTGCCATTCCTTTTGGTATTTTAGTCATGAAGTCCTTGCCCATGCCTATGTCCTGAATGGTATTGCCTAGGTTTTCTTCTAGGGTTTTTATGGTTTTAGGTCTAACATTTAAGTCTTTAATCCATCTTGAATTAATATTTGTATAAGGTTTAAGGAAGGGATCTAGTTTCAGCTTTCTACATATGGCTAGCCAGTTTTCCCAGCACCATTTATTAAATAGGAAATCCTTTCCCCATTTCTTGTTTTTGTCAGGTTTGTCAAAGATCAGATGGTTGTAGACATGTGGTATTATTTCTGAGGGCTCCATTCTGTTCCATTGGTCTATATCTCTGTTTTGGTACCAGTACCATGCTGTTTTTGGTTACTGGAGCCTTGTAGTATAGTTTGAAGTCAGATAGTGTGATGCCTCCAGCTTTGTTCTTTTGGCTTAGGATTGTCTTAGCAATGCGGGCTCTTTTTTTGTTCCATATGAACTTTCAAGTGGTTTTTTCCAATTCTATGAAGAAAGTCATTGGTAGCTTGATGTGGATGGCATTGAATCTATAAATTCAATGGGCAGTATGGCCATTTTCACAATATTGATTCTTGGGCAGTATGGCCATTTTCACAATGTTGATTCTTCCTATCCATGAGCATGGAATGTTCTTCCATTCATCAAATGTATTTTTTAAAAACCAGTTCAGCATGAACACTTACCAAGCCAAAGCACCTTTACAGGCCTGGACGGCTTCTATTGATTAATACTTGCTGTACATCAGGTCTAGCTTTCTCTTTTGTCACAGATGAGAGTGGGAAATTCAAATCCCTTTCAGCTATTTAAAGGAGTAATATTACCAGTGACTCAATTGTCTTTCATTGCCAAAGCAAATAGAGGTTCTCTTGGAATCTTATCTTACATATCCCTAATCTTTAAAATTATGTTTCTAAGTACCTTAGGTTTAATTTTTCAGAAAATGGAATTGATAGATCTACTTTGTGTTTACTGAGCTTCTGTTCACCACGTAAGAACTTAAAAGAAATTTCTGTCAAAGGGGAAAAAGGGATTTACTTCATTTGATGTGACTGTTATATCCATCATAAAATCAGCTTGCAGTAGTTCAGCTCTTAAAAGGATCTTCTAAAAGAATCTTGATAAGTTGACAAGACTATTTTTGCAGTTTTGTTTTTTTAAGAATTAAAGGGATTTTTAAGTTTTTCTCTGAAATGCTCAGGCTATTTGAAGAAATAAATGCTTAATTATAAATTAAATTTCTGTGGGAATGAATAATACTTTAATTTCCAGTAGATAAAGCTAGATCTTGCATTCTTATAATTCTAGCTGATACCAATTATAAATCTAAATTTTTGATATTGTTGCTTCAGAAAAGCAGGGTATCATAAGGGGATGTTTTTAGGCAGACAAGAAATATACATTCTATTAAATAAACAAACCAGAAGTTATTAAATAGCTGCCACATTCAAATTATTGTGACAGATGCTGTTGAGATTATAACAAAAGAATGAATGCTCACAAAATTCTCCCAATCAAGTTTACACAGATAAGATTTTGCTTGCAATAAATGACTGTGAAGCATATTTCATATGAAAAATGATTTCTGAAGTTTTGTTTGGATTTCATTAAAAACAAAATTAAATCAAGAACAAGTAAACCAATTTTTAAAACACGTCTGTAAGTCTAAAAAGCTTTGCTTTTTTTTAAGGCATTTTGGGGTGCTGCAATGATACTTAAATCTTATTTAAGAGTGTGACCAAAAAAGAACTCATCCGAAGGTCTTCATTTAGATATTTCTGACACTATTGAATAAAGAATAAAACAAAACAAAAATTCTCCACATAAACAACAAAAATATTCATTAAAATTAAATAAATCAAATATATTCTGTTATTAATGCCCCAAATGTGTCAGCTTGGTCAACTTAGTAAAAAAAAAAAATACAGTTCCGTGATTTAAGGAATATTTCCGGTTTTTTTTGTGGTATCTCCCTGGTAATCCCCAAATAACAAAATAATATATTTAGTCATAGTCACTTTTTAATTTTTCATCTGATTAATGTGGTGTCTCATACATGCAAACAAAGTACCTTTTTCTGTTGCCTTAATGCCTCTTTACAATGGACCCGATGGGAGATAAGCAGACATTAGACATACAGGTTGATAAAATACTTATGTAAATATAGTAAAACAATGTTGAGACCAAGTATAAGAGAGTGTCGTTATTTTTACTGGTTACAGCAAAATACCTGGGGAGCATTTTGGAAATTAACATTTGGTCACTGTAAGCCAGTATAGATTCCATTACGGTAACTTCCATTGTTTTGGGGCAGACATTTCATCTATGACAGTTTACTTGAGAGTACTGAACATATTTCAGTTTGCCAAAGTAAGATACTCTTGTTTTCTTGCACTGTTTTCCTATGTGCATCGGAAAAATATTACCTTTTTCAGAAATTTTGATTTAATGGTGTTTGATATTAGGCATGTTTTTACACTTAACAGTTATTCAGTGAAAACTAATTCTGCTCATTTTTTGTCTGAAGATATTGAACATGAAAATTTCAATAGGCACCAGTGCTCTTGTTACTTAAGTAAAATAGATTTCTGTGATTTTTATTCCTCTTCTATTATCTTCCTTAATCTACTAAATTACCTTATTCGCTAATATTTAAAACATGTATTTTCTAGGAAACTGTCATGACTACTAAGTTATCAGGCACTTACTGTATGCAAAGTATTTACAAATTGTGTAAATATAGCACTCACCACCATCCCATGTACATGTATGTTCCAGGAAGGAAGTTTTCCTTCCAACTCCACAACTGAATTATAAGGAATAGTATCTGTGAGCTTTCTATAGTCAATCAAAAATATTGGTGTGATAAGTGGAAAACATAAAAATAGATCTCCTGCCATCAAGAAGCAAATAGTAAAACTAGGCAATGTTAGATTAAGTGCTACAGGGTGAGGAGTCCAACTTCAGGTCGAAATGCCATGTGCGATATTTCCGGCCCAAACATAGGTAGTTATAAAAGCTTTACTTCGCAGATCTTAGCAGGGAAATCTTCCGCTTGCGGGGAAATGTGCTGGTACACAGCCAGCACATTTCAGTCTCCGAAGGAGTTGTAGTCAAGGACTCAGCTCTCCCTGCCTGGCCATGTCCTTATGCATAGCTGCATTTTTAGCCCAAGTGCCTTCATTTGGAGGTGTCTTTATTGAGGACTTTAGCAGGGACCTTCCTCAGTCGCCTCTATTGAGAGCTTATGGGTAAAAGAAAAGGCAGGGAAACTTGACACTTTTACTCTACTCTAACTCAGCTTTTTTCCACTGTTAGCCCTTTCTTGCTTTCCCTCTGCCCTTCTCCGTGTCCTCCACACCATCTAGGTCGATAAAACTATGGGATCCTTTTGTTTTAGGCTCCCTCTGCAGTGGAATTACCCTTATGTCTTTTCTGTCTATGCTGATCCACCTGATCTTGAACTGGTGCTATTCCATGGGGAAAATTGGAACATGGGGCAATTAACACTTTCTCCACTTTATCCCATCAACAGTAAGTACTGAAAGGCTTAAATGCTACTTCCATTTTGACTGTTTGTCTTAAGCAGCTACTCTGACGTCCAGAAGCTAGGTTCTCTTTCGAGTTTAGCTGAGCTTCTGACACAGAGAAGAGTATACATGAAAAATACCTGTGTAGCCTAGAAGTCGGGGAAAATGCAGGAAGTGGAGAAGAGAGTAGCATATAAATTATACGTATACATGGGTCAAGAACAAAAGGTATCAACTGAGGCTCAGGGATCCTAAGAGACATTAAGAATTTAGTAAGGATATGAACCTGTTCAAATGAAAGCTTTCAGTTGGGGTTACAGCAAGAAACATGCCTAATAAATCAAGTGAGGAGATTTTATATTAAATTAGAATTCAAGAAAATAGAATTAGTTTTTATCCTCTTTAGACAATGACAAAGTTATGACATGTTTGAGCAGAAGAGTAACGTAATAAAACTTGTGTTTTCGAAGTGTTTTATCTAGCTTTTTGGCCAGCCTAGCCAAACATTTACTTGGGATATCCTCTTGAAATATTGTGCAAGATACTGAAGTGTCTTTGAATAGCTCATGATCTAGGAATATGTTGCATGTTTAAACAAAGCTGAGAATTATCTGACAATGTGACTTAACAGAGACATTTTAATAATATTACAGGGAAATTGAAATATAACCAACTAACTCAGGAGACATCATGGAAGATGTCACACAGTGAATGATGATGAAGCAGAATTTTTAAAATGTGTAGGATTACGAGAAGTGGGCAAGTACTTATGAAAAGATACCATAAACAAAACCTATTTTACTTCAGACATTCTCTAAACTTTATTTCAACCTTTAGAAACTGTGAATAAGTACATTTGTCCTTCAAAGTTATATAAATTAAAGGGCTATTTTGCCATATAAATGAAAGTATTTCCAATTCCACAAAAATGTCTTATGATCAACAAATGAATCTTGGTATTTATAAAGTTCTGGTTGTTACTGATATTTTATAATCTGACCTAGCTTAACTGTCCAGGTTAATTTCCCACCAATTTTCAATAGGCACATTTCATTTTGACCAAACCAGGTTACAACTGAAACTATCGTATCTTAACCAATCTGTAGTAGTATTTAATTAAAAATACTTGTTAAAGCAGTAAATTGAAAATTATACTTAGGTATTATAAACATTGCATTTAACATGAACCATATACATAGATATTCATTTGTCAAACTTTTGTTGTAGGGTCATTTTTCTTTGTGTATGGTATTGCTGATGCAGTTTAATGCTCCATTACTTCTAAATTTTCATCATAAGCTAGATTTTCCAGTTGTGGTTTCTATAAAGAAAAACAAACATTCTGAAGACAGTTTTTCCAGATTTATTCCAGATATCGATGATTAACTTTTGAAGGTAAGACTATTATCTTTTCACACATAATTTGACTATAAAATTTTAAATGGCTCACCTTTGTCAAGTAGTTACAAGTAATTTATCATAAAAACTATTGGGAACTAATTTAGTTGATGTATGTAATATTCAAATTAACTACATACTTATCATAGTAATTGTAAGTGGCATAAATAGGATTAGAAAGAAAACCAACTGCTTTTGATGATACAACTTAAAATGAAAAAGAAAGTATATATACAAATGGACCTGATGGGGGAAAAGTGTGATTTAGCTACTTGTGAGCATTTAACATACTGTGAGTACTCCTCAGTATCTTTTTTACAGCGAGAAGGTTATCTGAATAAATGGGTTGGATGGATTTTCCTATAAATGTCTGCTATAATTATCATAATGTTCCAAACTTTCATCTATTTACCTTTTCACATGTTGCCCTCTCTGCTGAAATGCCTGCCCACCTATCATTCTGGGAAATTACTACTCATTTTTTAAAGCTCTAGGAGAAGCAATTTCCCTGGAAATCATTTTCAAATTATTTTTCACTAAAGAGCATCAGGCAACCTTGCATTTGTGTTCCCTCTCTGAATTGCTGTTGTTACTCTTTTTACACAAATGTTAATTATAGCTAATAATTGCTAACCACCTTATTCTTGTATGCTAAGCCCTGTTTTCAGCAATTTATTAGTATGAACTTATTTAATCCTCATAACACCCTCTGAGATTGATACTATTATTATTCTTCATTTTATAATTGTGAAAAGCATATAGAGTTTGAGTAATTGTATAAAGCAACATAGTTATTAGGTAAATGTGTCAGGATTAAACAAACATTCTGTCTTCAGAAGTCATGTTTTTAGGGTCTGTGCTAGTTGTCTTTCAGTCATGCATTGCACTTCGGTTGTTGGTACTCAACAACAAGCAATTGGTTCTTGAGATTAGAATTCTGTCTTTTTCATTTTACATTTTTAATATGGAGCACAATGTCTTGCAAATAATACAGTCCTAACATTGTTTTTGAATAAATGAGTGAGAAATCAAATGGAAATACATTTTAGCCATTTGAACTATAGAGGGCTGTCTAACCTTTCACAGCAGATATGCCTCAGGAAAAGTAGATGACAGTTGCATGTTTCTCATATTCTAGCTCCTCTGTTGATTTGAACATCCGCTGAAGCTTATTTTTCACCTCAGAATAGCATCAACATTATTTGAAATTCAATTGTACTTTCTCGTTACATTAATAAATCATGGAAGTTGAGAAAATTGATGTATCATTGAATGAATTTAAATGACTTTTTTTTGTTTTGTACCATTCTATCCATAAAGTTGAAAGCATTGGTTGTCTGAGTTCATAAAACATCCACTGGATGGATAGGTTAGAGCCATTCTATAGAATCAGTGTCACACAAACCATGTGGGTTGATGGATATTTTCACATCAAACTGTCATCTTGTCTCTGCTGTTACATTATATTTGCTGCCTCAACAGTGACTCAAATTGTTATTTTTTTACAGCCGGTGTCCCAACTACAAAATAGCCCAGTATATTTTTGACCACCCATTTAACTATTTATTGATATCTAAAGGCTTTAGTTTTTTATCATAAATATAAGTCTAAAAAGAGTCTAGATTTTGGATGGTGGCACATATTTAAAAACACATCTATGCATAGGATTCTCGCTGTGGATAGAAATTATTTTACAAATCAGGGTTGACTTGTTGATATAACATTTTGTTCATTACATTTATTTATTTATACCAGTTACCACCCAGCTTATTGGAATGACATTTTATGATGACTACTTCCTGATGCTCCAGGAAGCCTCTAGGGGAATGAGAATGGTCTCTAGGGGACTGGTTATTTGTGTAGGCATTTCTGGTCACAGCCAGAGGATCACACACATATTCACAAATATCTATTAGAAGGCAATTTTCTGTTAAACTGAAGGATTCTGAGTTCTGGGAGATGATTTTACATTCTGAAGGATGCTTCCACCTTTAGATAAGAATGCCAGGCTCTCCCAAAGATGGTTAAAGAGTCTGCCTGAAAAAAGAATGTAAAGAACAGTGCAGGCAGTGGGAACTATGATTTAAATTACAGAGAGAGAACAAAGGAAAAACTGATCTGGGAATAAATAGAGTCACGCACCATTGGAGTTGCATGTGTGAGCAAGTGTGTCTGTATATGTATGTGGGTGTGTGTCCCTGTTTATATTTTGGAAATGAGGTTGAGAGATGTAAAAATAATAAAGATGTAAAAATTAACAAACATGCAAAAAATATCTTCAATAAGGAAAAATTGTTTATATTTTATATAAAATCTACTAAGAAATTTTTAACAGGGTATATACAATCAAATGTCTGTTTTAGAGTGTTTAGTTGTATAAATATGGAAGGAGGAAAGAAATGGCAGAAAGACCAAATATGCTATTCCTGTAACAATCGTGAGATATCTGGACTCTGTACTGAGGTTGTAGCAATGAAGGTAAGAAGAAAAGAAGGATTTGAAAGAATTTAAATAGAGAATTAATAACTCTTGGGAAATTAATATACAGGAGGGGGAGCAGAATGTCAGGAAAAGGGACAATGTGAAGAATGATGGCACAGCTTCTGGCCTGTGCATCTGGGTAGAGAAGCTCATTGAGATAATGAAGGGAAATGTTTAAATATGTTGGTGAGATGAGGGGAGAAAGAGTTTGGGGTAGACAATTGTTTATGGCATAATTTAAGGTTATTCTTATATATTATACAATAGCAGGGCAGTACAGAGGTATCTGGAGCTCAGGGAGAGATTTGAACTGACAGTGTAGATTTGCAAATCCTCACCATATACCTGGCCATTACAGTCACAGGTGCCAGGCTGATCATGAAGACAAGTCTCAGAGTTGTAAATGAACCACCAAGTAGGTAAAAATTACAACAGAATAAAGTCAACATTTCTTGCACTCTGAACATCTCACTGTACTCCACAACACTCACCCTTTCTTAGTTCCTCACTTTGGAAGATGCTGTTTCTTGTATCTGGAATGCTTTCATTGGATTTCCTACTTTAGGCTCTATCCCATTCACTGTCTGACATCTCCTTCACTGGCATTAACCAGTTGTACCTAATATGTGAGTTAGACAAGGAATCTGAAGGCGGTACAGAGCAAAAGGAGCCCGCCATGCTCAACATTTAATTTGATCCATCCTTAGGCACTTATGAAGAGCAAGTTCAAATGGTAATTGTTCCTTGGCTCCCCAGGATGACATCTCTTTGTTGCTTGAGCAATCTGGCCATATAATTTTTATGGTACTTAAATAATTGCTTTATATTCACCTATTTGCATGTCTTTTACTTCTCATGGTGTAACAATTTTTCACTGTCCTTGGGGGTTATTTTTGGTCCTCTAGGAAGCAGATCCCCCAAATAGGATTAGACATACAAGAGATTTACTGGGGAGGAATACCTATGAAGAATAAAGCAGGTGAAGGCAAGAGGATATGACAGTGCCTTTAGACCATGGCACGGGTCTGACACTTGTGAAAGGAAAGTGGAAAAAGTAAGCAGAATTAGGAAAGAATAGGTTCAGATCTCAATGCAATTTTCTGGAAGTCTCCAGTGGCTTTGGAGTGAATGCTGTAGCAAATTTGAATGAGCAGCAATATCCCCTGTGTAGGTGCAAGAAAGGGGATGTGTGCACACACCTTGCCTGCCACACTTTGTATTTTAAATGCTACCTGGAATAAGTATGATATACAATAAATAATTATTATATGAATTAATAAATTTAATGATTAACACTGTACAGTTTTCCAGTAGTTGTAATGAGTTTCCTTTCTTGTACTTAAAAAAAAAAGGGCTTTATTTGCTTGTCCTTTTAAAACCAAATGCATGTACTGGAAGATAAATGGTAAGGGAGAGGTTAACTGACAGAAAGACTTTGATTTTATTAGGATCACATACTCACCAAATGAGATTACTAGCCAGATAAATTATAAAATTGGTAGTTATAGTCCAAAATCAGTAAACATATTTTGGTATTACTACATGTCTATTTGCTTCCCTTTTTATGCCTCACATAGACTTAATTAAGAAGCTGTGGTTACTCTCTCCCATGTTATGCCCTCAAATAAAATTTTTCTATTATTGTTGCTAGTCGTTTATTTATTTGTTTATTTATTTATTTATTTTTATTTTTTTGGAGACGGAATCTCTCTCTGTCACCCAGGCTGGAATGCAGTGGTGCTATCTTGGCTCACTGCAATCTCCACCTCCTGGGTTCAAGCACTTCTTCTGCCTCAGCCTCCCGAGTAGCTGGGACTACAGGCACACGCGGCCACGCCCGGCTAATTATTTGTATTTTAGTAGAGACGGGATTTCACCGTGTTGCCCAGGCTGGTCTCGAACTCCTGAGCTCAGGCAGTCTGCCCGCCTCGGCTTGCCAAAGTGCTAGGATTACAGGTGTGAGCCACCGCGATTGGCCTGTTGTTAGTCATTTCTATACTACTTATAGGGAAGGGAAATTAGCCACACAATAACATTGTTATCATAACAAAAATGTCGGACTCCTATTGCTTCAGTAGAAATTAATATTGGAAATTAATGAACATCTTAATTAATTTTAAGAATTTTTTTTCAGTTGAATTGAAGCCCTTTTACTTAAACAATGCAAATCGATGGGTTTTCAATAGTCTGTTATTGTTCACTGAAATGATGGAATAAATTTAAGATGTTGAAGTAAATAAAATTTGACTAAACTTTAAAAATCTCGCATTTTATTTTCACTTGATTTAAATTTTATTTAAGTATCATCCTTCATTTTGAAATAGATAGAATAATGACATGGTTTTCTATACAAAGTATAATATATTTTTCTTCCTAATAACTTATTTTCGGCTTTTTTGTGTGTATATGATAAAAATGTGCTATTTTTAGAAATAAATGCATATATTTCTAAATGTGAGATTGTCTGAAGACATACAAATATGATGTATTTGACCAGACTGAAAGTGAAATATGATTTTTAATCTGAATAATAAAATTAGTAATTTATGTAAAATAATTGTGTTTTCTTTTTGCATGCTAACCAAACATTTTACATTAAATACATCAGGTCAAAAATAAAATTTAATCTTGAGTTAAGTTCAAAATTACAGATTTATTTTAAATAAGATTTTTTTTAAGAAGAAACTAGGATAACATTTTATATTAAACATGTATGTGCTTTAGTTTTCTAGGGCTGCCATAAGTAAGTACAACAAACTGAGTGGCGTAAAAGAACAGAAATTTATTCTTTCACAGTTTTGGAGGCTGGAGATTTGAAATCAAGGTGTCGACAGAGTTGAATAATTTTTTCTCTGAAGAATCTAAGGGAGGCTATTTTCTTGCCCCTTTCCAGCTCCGTAGTTTCTGGTCATGCTTAGCGTTCATAGGCTGGTCAATATATCACTCTGATCTTTGTCTCTGACTTCAGATTGACTTCCTTTCTTTGTGTCTTTGATCTCTCTCCCTGTTGTTATAGGATGCCAGTCAGACAGGATTTAGGACTCACTCTACTTTAGTATGTCCTTCTCCTAACCTAATGAATTCCATTTCTTAAGATCTTATTTTCAAATAAAGTTGCATTCTGAGTTTTCAGGAAGGATTTGAATTTATTAAATAATTTAAATATATATTTTATACTTTTTTAATGGCATGGATAAAGTGTTTAGACAGTTTATTAAATGCTATGGGAGAAAATTATACTGTTAGTCTAAAGCAAAATAACCGAGTTGGTCACTATTGGCCCAAACTCTAATTAATATACACATATACCCATTTATGTGACTGTATCATTATTATAGAGTGATCAATCAACTTAGTGCTCTGGGGTTGTGGGGCTGTACCCCAAACTGTATCATTTGTAATATGAACATTTCCAGTACTTATCTTTTTAACACTTGTTAAAAATTAAAACATGTAGCTAAAATATATTAGTTACAAATAATGTGATACAGTACATATACTTAACAGTCTTCATTCCATTCTCATTGAGAATGAGAAGCAAGAATTTACCTAAAACATTTATGAAAGCCTGAGTGGTGAAATAGGACTTGTGATACAGGGAACAGATCATCAAGAGCATCAGTTGGGAACCTGAAAGGAAACAGAGAATAAGCTCCATGTGAGTTATTTGCAGAGGGTTTAATAAATGAATTATTTTAAAAGATGGGCACAAGGTGTAGTGGAGCTTTAAGGTATCCAGTACCCAGTAGCCAAGATCTTTCCTTTCCTTGACCTATATGGAGAGGGGAGGAAGCAGTTCCTTGGAACCCAGAGACAAAGAGACTAAGGAGAGAGGATCACCTTATAGATGCTGGAAGAGTGGGTCATGTATTCAATCAAATGAAACCAACCTCAAAAAGGGGAAGCTGGAGTAATTAATATGGCTTAAACTTTCCCCCTCCACACTCCTGCCAGTCTCTTCATTGTCAGATTATAACCAGAAGCCAGAAGCAAGACAGTCCATTGATGTGTCCACACAGAGCAGTCTCAGAGCACAGACCTGGGTGGACAAGGATATACCGTAGAGCTGAAAGTCCAGCCAGTTTAATTTCATATCAATCCTACAACATTGTTTATACTTTTTGATAAAAGTTAAAGAATACTTCTATTTAAAATTTCATTTTTAATATGTTTTTATCCTAGTGTCAAGCTTTCTTTTTGTTTTATAACTGAAAGTGGAAGTGTAGGTGGATCCTATAATCAAAATTGTAATGGGGGTAGGGAATCACTGTGTCATTGGTTTTTTGTTACATGTAGAAGCAAGCACTCTACAATTGACAGTGACATTACATGGTGTTTGCGTAGTGGGCAGCAAATTCATTCTAGCATGCTTTACAGCAATTGCTGCCATTTGATAAGTAACTCCATATGGACTGAGGCCGAAGCACTAAATCATTGTGTCTCCTTCATGCCAAGCACTGATTCATTGCAGTGTCTTGCACTGCAACTTATTGCTACTACATTTTAGAAAATATACTTGTTTTCTCTCAAACACGTTATATTTAATTTATTCTTGCTGTGGTTGAATTTGACTATGCTTGTTATTTTAGCATCACCATGTGCATGGTGAACTATTTTTAATCAGACATCTACTTATAATCATATCATAGTTTGAAGGGACCTTAAAGGTCATATAATCTTACTTCTCACCACATGCACACCATCCCCAAATAATAGTCATATATCTGGCTTCTGCTTGAATAATTCCAATGACAGGGAACTGACTACTTGAGATGCAGCCTTTTCTATGCTTGGCTAGCTTTCATTGCTAAAAGTTCTCCCTTATGTTGAGTAGAAATTTATTAACTCTATTTTCCACCTCTTGGTCCTAGATCTACTCTCTAGAACAATAAGTTAAACTTTATATTCTTTTGTTAACTCTTAAATATTCACTACTGCAGGCTTTTTTGTGAAGCACACATTATTTGAAGTATATACAGTGTTCCGTAAAAATCATATAGAACAAATTTGTTCTGATCCCTGTTTTAGGAAGCAGTGGGTCTTTTTAGATTCTATATGGAAATTCTAATTAAAAATCAAACTA